>NT_187648.1:0-214158 GCF_000001405.40 Homo sapiens | reverse complement strand
GAATTCGATGTTTCCAATCAATTCCATTCAATGATGCTTCCATTCGAGGCTGTCTGATGACTCTATTCATTTCCATTCTACAATGATTCCCTTTGAGTCCTTTTGAAGATTTGATTCGAGTCCTTTCGATAATCCCATTCGATTCCGTTCGATGATGATTTCGTTCGAGTCCATTTGACGCGTCCCTTCGAGTACATTTGATGATTCCATTCGAGTCCAACTGATGATTCCATTCAATTCCATTCTGTGATGTTTCCGTATGATTCCATTCGATGATGATTCCATGTGATTCCTTTCGATGATGATTCATTTTAATTGCATTTGATTATGATTCATTTCCAGTTCATTCGACGATTCCACACGATTCCATTCGAGGATGATTCCATTCGAGTGTATTTGATGATTCCTTTCGATTCCATTAGAAGATGATTCCATTTGATTCCGTTCATTGGTGATCCCATTCAATTCCATTCAATGATTCCATTCCATCCCATTCAACAATGATTCCATTTGATTCCATTTGATGATTCCTTCCGCTTGATTCCATTTGATGATGATTCCATTCGATTCCATTCGATGATGATTGCCTTCAATTCCATTCGATGATTCCATTCGATTCCATTCGATGACGATTCGGTTTGATTCCATTTGATGATTCCATTCGAGTCCATTCGATGATTCCATTCGATTCCATTTGATGATGATTCCATTTGAGTCCATTCGATGATTCCATTCGAGTCCATTTAATGATTCCATTCATTCGAGTCCATTTGATGATTCCATTCGATTGCATTTTATGATTATTCCATTCGTGTCCATTAGATGATTCCATTCGTGTCCATTCAATAATTCCATTCAATTCCTTTCGATCATTCCATTCGATTCTATTTGACATTTCCATTCGAGTCCGTTTGTTCATTCATTCGTGTCCATTCGATGACTCCATTCGATTCCATTTGATGATGATCCCATTTGATGATGATTCCATTCGAGTCCATTTGATGACTCCATTTGATTCCATTTGATGATGATTCCATTCGTGTCCATTAAATGTTTTTGTTCTATCCCATTCAATGAGGATTCCCTTCAAATCCATTTGATGATTGTATTCAAGTCCATTCAGTGATTGCTTTCGGTTCCATTTGATATTGATTCCCTTTGATTCCATTCGATGAGTGTTCCATTCGATGTCATTCTATGATTCCATTAGATTCCATTTGATGTTGATTGCATTTGATTCCATTTGATTATTCTATTCGATTTTTTTTGATGACGATTCCATTCGATTCCATTCAGTGATTCCAGTTCATTACAGTTGATGGTGATTCCTTTCGATTCCATTCGATGATTCCATTTGATTCCAATCGATGATGATTCCATTCGAGTCCATTCGATGATTCCATTCGATTCCATTCAATGATGATTCCATTCGAGTCCATTCAATGGTGATTCCATTGGATTCCATTCGGTGATGCCATTCGATTCCGTTCTATGATTGCATTCGATTCCATTTGATGATTCCCTTCGATTCCATTCAAAGTTTATTCCATTCGAGTCAGTTTGATAATTCCATTCGATTCCATTCTCCGATGATTCCACTGGATCCCGTTCGATGATTCCATTCAATTCCAGTTGATGGTGATTCCATTCGAGTCCATTTAATGATTTCCTTGGATTCCATTTGATGATGACTCCTTCCGGTTCCATTCCATGATGATTCCATTGGGTTCCATTAGATAGTGATTCCATTCAAGTCCATTCGATGATTCCATTCGATTCCATTCGATGATGATTCCATTCCGTTCCATTCGATGATTCCTTTCGATTCCATTTGATGTTGATTCCATTTGAGTCCATTTGATTATTCCCTTTGAATGCATTCCATGATTCCTTTCGATTCCATTTGATATTGCTTCCATTCGAGTCCATTCGATGATTCCATTTGATTTCATTCAATGATGATTCGATTCAATTCCGTTCGATGATTCCATTTGACTCCATTCGATGACAACTCCATTCGAGTCCATTCGATGATTCCTTTCGAGTCCATTTCATGATTCTATTTGGTTCCATTCGATGATGATTCCTTTGAATTCCATTCGTTGGTGATTCCATTCGATTCCATTCGATGATGATTCCATTCAATTGCATTCGATGATGATTCCATTCGATTCCATTCGATGATGATTCCATTCGGTTTCATCCGATGATTCTATTCAATTCCTTTCTATGATTATTCAATTCTTTTCCATTTGATGATTCCATGTGATTCCATTTGATGATGATTCCATTCGTTTGCATTCGATGATGATTCCATTCAGGTCCATTCAAAGATTCCATTCGATTCCATTCTATGATGATTGCATTCGAGTTCATTTGATGATTCCATTCGACTCCATTCGATGATGATTCCATTCGTTGCTATTCAATGATTCCATTCGATTCCATTTGCTGATGATTCCATTCGACTCCATTCAATGATTCCATTCGATTCCACTCAATGAGGATTCCTTTCGTGTCCATTTGATGATTCTGTTCAATTCCATTCGATGATGATTCCTATCAAATCAATTTGATGATTCCATTCGAGTACATTCGATTATTCCATTTGATTTTATTCGATGATGATTCCATTCGATGCCATTCGATGATTCCATTCGATTCCATTCAATGGTGATTCCATTCGATGCCATTCGATGATTCCATTCAATCCTATTTGATGATGATTCCATTCGTGTCCATTCGATGATTCCGTTCTTTCCATTCGATGATGATTCCATTTGAATCCATTCGATGATTCCTATCTATTCCATTCGATGACTCCGTTCAATCCCATTCGGTGTTCCCCTTCGATTGTCTTTGATGATCATTCCATTCGATTCAATTTGGTGATTCCATTCCATGATGATTCCTTTCGATTCCATTCGATGAGGATTCCATTCGGTTCCATTTGATGATGATTACATTCGATTCCATTTGACGATGATTCCATTCGAGTCCATTTGATGATTACATTCGATTGCATTTGATGATGATTCCACTCAAGCCCATTCGCTTATTCCATTCGAGTCCATTCAATGATTCCATTAGATTCCATTCGATGATGATTCCATTCGAGTTCACTCGATGATTCCATTGTATTCCATTCAATGATGATTCCTTTCAGGTCCATTAGATGATTCCATTAGATTCTATTTGATGATGACTCCATTAGTGTCCATTCTTTGATTCCATTCGATTCCATTCGATGATGATTCTATTCGAGTCCATTCGTTGATTCCATTCGATTCCATTCAATTATGATTCCATTCAAGTCCAATTGATGATTACAGTCGTTTCCATTCGATGATGATTCCCCTCGAGTCCATTCGATGATTCCACTCGAGTCCATTCGATGATTTCCTTAGATTCCATTCAATGATGATTCCACTCAATGCAATTCAATGACTAAATTCGATTCCATTCGATGTTGTTTCCGTTCAATTCCATTTGATGATTCTATTCGATTCAATTCAGTGATGGTTACATTCGTGTCCACTCGATGATTCCATTCTATTCCATTCGATGATTATTCCATTAGACTCCATTCGATGATGATTCCATTCGATTTCATTCTGTGAATCTATTCATTTCCATTCGATGATGATTCCATTCTTTTCCAGTCGACGATTCCATTCGATGCCATTCGATGATTACATTCGATTACATTCGACGATGACTCCATTCTATTCCATTTGATGATTCCATTCGATTCCATTCGATGAGGATTCCATTTGATTCCATTCAATGATGATTCCATTCATGTCCATTCGATTGAATTACATTTCATTGCTTTCGATGATGATTCCATTCACGTCCATTAGATGATTCCATTTGATTCCATTCATTGATGATTCCATTCAGATTCCATTTGATGATTCCATTCGATTCCATTTGATGATTCCATTCAATTGCATTCAATGATTCCATTCGATTCCATTCGATGATGATTCCCTTCGAGTCCATTAGAAGATTCCATAACATTCCATTCGATGGTGATTCCTTTCCATTTCATTCAATGATTCCATTCGATTCCATTCGATGATGATTCCCTTCGAGTCCATGAGATAATTTCATAACATACCATTCGATAGTGATTCCATTTGATTTCATTCGATGGTGATTCCATTTGATTCCATTCGATGATTCCTTTCGTGTCCATTCGATGACACCATTGGATTCCATTCGATGATTTCATTCGTTTCCACTTGTTGATGATTCCATTCGATTCCATTCGATGATGATTCCATTCGATTCCCTTCATTGATGATTCGATTAGATTCCATTTGATGATGATTCCATTCGATTCCATTCAATGAAGATTCCATTCAATTCCATTTGATGATGATTCCATTTGACTCCATTCAATGATGATTCCATTCGATTCCATTCAAAGATTCAATTCGAGTCCATTCAATGATTCCATTCGATTCCACTTGATGATGATTCCTTTCAAGTCCATTCAATGATTCCATTCAATTCCATTAGATAATAATTCCTCTCAAGTCCATTCAATGATTCCATTCAGTTGCATTCGATGATTCCATACGATTTCATTCGATGATGATTCCATTTGAGTCCATTTGATGTTTCCATTAGATTCCATTCGAGCATAATTCCTTTCGAGTCCATTCGATGATTCCATTCAATTCCATTCCATGATGATTCCATTTCATTCCATTCAATGATGATTCCATTCGAGTCCATTCTATGATTCCTTTCTATTCCATTCGTTGATTCCATTCAATTCCATTCGATGATGATTGCATTCGACGACATTCAATGATTCCACTCGATTCCATCTGATGATTGGAGTCCATTCGGTGATTCCTTTAGATTCCACTCAAAGACGATTCCATTCAATTCCATTCCATGATACCATTCGATTCCATTCATTGATGATTCCATTTGATTCCATTTGATGATTCCATTTTATTCCATTCGATGATGATTCCATTCCATTCCATTTGATGATTCCATTCCATTCCATTAGATGTTGATTCCATTCGTGTCCACTTGATGATTCCATTCTTTTCCGTTCGACCATGATTCCATTCGAGTACATTCGATGATTCCATTCGATTGCATTCGATGATTCCATTCGAGTATATTCGATGATTCCACTCGATTCCATACGACGATTATTCCATTGGAGTCCATTTGGCGATTCCTTTAGGTTCCACTCGAAGATGATTCAATTTGATTCCATTCGATTATACCATTCGATTCCATTCATTCATGATTCCATTCAAGTGCATTTGATGATAACATTCGATTCCATTTGATGATGATTCCATTCGTTTCCACTTGATTATTCATTTCCATTCCATTCAGTGATGATTCCATTAGAGTCAATTCGATGATTCCGTTGGAGTCCATTTGATGATGATTCCATTCAGTGATTCCATTCAATTCTATTTGATAATGATTCCAATCGATTCCATTCGATGCTGATTCCATGGTATTCCATTCTATGGTTTCATTCGGTTGCATTAGACAATGACTCCATTCGATTCCAATTGATGATTCCATTTGATTCTATTTCATGATGATTCCATTCGATTCCATTTGATGATGATTGCATTCTATTCAATTCGATGATGATTCCATTCGGGTCCATTAGATGATTCCATACGATTCCATTCGATGACGATTCCATTCTATTCCATTCAATGATGATTCCATTCGGGTCAATTATATGATTCCATTCGATTCCTTTTGATGATGATTCCATTCGGGTCCATTCGATGATTTCATTCTTCTCCATTCGATGATGATTACATTCAAGTCTATTCGATGATTCTATTAGAGTCCATTGAATGATTGCTTTTGATTCCATTCGATGCTGATTCCATTCCATTCCATTCCACTCCATTCCATTCGATGATGATTCCATTCGATACCATTTTATGATTCCTTTAGATTCCATTTCATGCTGATTCCATTCAATTTCATTCAAAGATTCTATTCAAATCCATTCAATGATGATTCCATTAGATTCCATTTGATGATTCCATTTGATTTCATTTGATGATGTTTCCATTTGATTCCATTTGGTGATTCCATTCAATGATGGTTCCATTCGAGTCCATTCAATGATTCCTTTCTACTCTATTTGATGATGATTCCATGCGAGGGCATTCAATGGTGATTCCTTTGGATACCATTCAATGATTCCATTCGATTGCATTCAATGATGATTGCATTCGATTCCATTCGATGATTCCGTTTCATTCCATTCAAAGATGATTCCATTCGATTCCATTTGATAATTCCATGCGATTCCATTCGATCGTTCCAATGGATTCAATTTGATGATGATTCCATTTGTGTCTATTCGATGATTCCATTCAATTCCATCAGATGATGGTTCCATTCGAGTGAATTCGATGTTTCCAATCAATTCCATTCAATGATGCTTAAATTCGAGGCTGTCTGATGACTCTATTCATTTCCATTCTACAATGATTCCCTTTGAGTCCTTTTGAAGATTTGATTCTAGTCCTTTCGATGATCCCATTCGATTCCATTCGATGATGATTCCTTTCGAGTCCATTTGACGCGTCCCTTCGAGTACATTTGATGATTCCATTCGAGTCCAACTGATGATTCCATTCAATTCCATTCTGTGATGTTTCCGTATGATTCCATTCGATGATGATTCCATGTGATTCCTTTCGATGATGATTCATTTTAATTGCATTTGATTAGGATTCATTTCCAGTTCATTCGACGATTCCACACGATTCCATTCGATGATGATTCCATTCGAGTGTATTTGATGATTCCTTTCGATTCCATTAGAAGATGATTCCATTTGATTCCGTTCATTGGTGATCCCATTCAATTCCATTCAATGATTCCATTCCATTCCATTCAACAATGATTCCATTTGATTCCATTTGATGATTCCTTCCGCTTGATTCCATTTGATGATGATTCCATTCGATTCCATTCGATGATGATTGCCTTCAATTCCATTCGATGATTCCATTCGATTCCATTCGATGACGATTCGGTTTGATTCCATTTGATGATTCCATTCGAGTCCATTCGATGATTCCATTCGATTCCATTTGATGATGATTCCATTTGAGTCCATTCGATGATTCCATTCGAGTCCATTTAATGATTCCATTCATTCGAGTCCATTTGATGATTCCATTCGATTGCATTTTATGATTATTCCATTCGTGTCCATTAGATGATTCCATTCGAGTCCATTCAATAATTCCATTCAATTCCTTTTGATGATTCCATTCGATTCTATTTGATGTTTCCATTCGAGTCCATTTGTTCATTCATTCGTGTCCATTCGATGACTCCATTCGATTCCATTTGATAATGATCCCATTTCATGATGATTCCATTCGAGTCCATTGGATGACTCCATTTGATTCCATTCGATGATGAGTCCATTTGAATCCTTTCGATGTTTCCTATCGATTCCATTCGATGACTCCGTTCAATCCCGTTCGATGTTTCAATTCGATTGTCTTTGACGATCATTCCATTCGATTCAATTTGGTGATACCATTCGATGACGATTCCGTTCGATTCCATTCGATGAGGATTCCCTTCGATTCCATTTGATGATGATTCCATTCGATTCCATTTGACGATGATTCCATTCGAGTCCATTTGATGATTCCATTCGATTCCATTTGATGATGATTCCACTCAAGCCCATTCGATTATTCCATTCGAGTCCATTCAATGATTCCATTAGATTCCATTCGATGATGATTCCATTCGAGTCCATTCGATGATT
Source organism: Homo sapiens (assembly GCF_000001405.40). Taxonomy (NCBI): domain Eukaryota; kingdom Metazoa; phylum Chordata; class Mammalia; order Primates; family Hominidae; genus Homo; species Homo sapiens. The sequence goes on along the minus strand of NT_187648.1, from coordinate 206,348 downwards.
CCATTCGATTCCATTCAATGATGATTCCTTTCAGGTCCATTAGATGATCCCATTAGATTCCATTAGATGATGACTCCATTAGAGTCCATTCTTTGATTCCATTCGATTCCATTCGATGATGATTCTGTTCGAGTCCATTCGTTGATTACTGTCGATTCCATTCAATGATGATTCCCCTCGAGTCCATTCGATGATTCCACTCGAGTCCATTCGATGATTTCCTTAGATTCCATTCAGTGATGATGATTCCATTCGATTCCATTTGATGATGATTGCATTCTATTCAATTCGATGACGATTCCATTCTATTCCATTCAATGATGATTCCATTCGAGTCCATTCAATGGTGATTCTATTGGATTCCATTTGGTGATGCCATTCGATTCTGTTCGATGATTGCATTCGATTCCATTTGATGATTCCCTTCGATTCCATTCAAAGTTTATTCCATTCGAGTCCGTTTGATAATTCCATTCGATTCCATTCTCCGATGATTCCACTGGTGTCCGTTCGATGATTCCATTCAATTCCAGTTGATGATGATTCCATTCGAGTCCATTCAATGATTTCATTGGATTCCATTTGATAATGACTCCTTCCGGTTCCATTCCATGATGATTCCATTCGGTTCCATTAGATAGTGATTCCATTCAAGTCCATTCGATGATTCCATTCGATTCCACTTGATTTTGATTCCATTGGAGTCCATTTGATTATTCCCTTTGAATGCATTCCATGATTCCTTTCGATTCCATTTGATATTGCTTCCACTCGAGTCCATTCGATGATTCCATTTGATTTCATTCAATGATGACTCGATTCAATTCCGTTTGATGATTCCATTTGATTCCATTTGATGACAACTCCATTCGAGCCCATTCGATGATTCCTTTCGAGTCCATTTGATGATTCTATTTGGTTCCATTCGATGATGATTCCTTTGAATTCCATTCGTTGGTGATTCCATTCGATTCCATTCGATGATGATTCCATTCAATTGCATTCGATGATGATTCCATTCGATTCCATTCGATGATGATTCCATTCGGTTTCATTCGATGATTCTATTCAATTCCTTTCTATGAGTATTCAATTCTTTTCCATTTGATGATTCCATGTGATTCCACTTGATGATGATTCCATTCGTTTGCATTCGATGATGATTCCATTCAGGTCCATTCAAAGATTCCATTCGATTCCATTCTATGATGATTGCATTCGAGTTCATTTGATGATTCCATTCGACTGCATTCGATGATGATTCCATTCGTTGATATTCAATGATTCCATTCGATTCCATTTGCTGATGATTCCATTCGACTCCATTCAACGATTCCATTCGATTCCATTCAATGAGGATTCCATTCGAGTCCTTTTGATGATTCTGTTCAATTCCATTCGATGATGATTCCTCTCAAATACATTTGATGATTCCATTCGAGTACATTCGATTATTCCATTTGATTTTATTCGATAATGATTCCATTCGATGCCATTCGATGATTCCATTCGATTCCATTCAATGGTGATTCCATTCGATGCCATTCGATGATTCCATTCAGTCTTATTTGATGATGATTCCATCCGTGTCCATTCGATGATTCCGTTCGTTTCCATTCGATGATGATTCCATTTGAATCTATTCGATGATTCCTATCGATTCCATTCGATGACTCTGTTCAATCCCATTCGATGTTTCCCTTCGATTGTCTTTGATGATCATTCCATTCGATTCAATTTGGTGATTCCATTCCATGATGATTCCGTTCGATTCCATTCGATGAGGATTCCATTCGATTCCATTGAATGATGATTCCATTCGATTCCATTTGACGATGATTCCATTCGAGTCCATTTGATGATTCCATTCGATTCCATTTGATGATGATTCCACTCAAGCCCATTCGATTATTCCATTCGAGTCCATTCAATGATTCCATTAGATTCCATTCGATGATGACTCCATTCGAGTCCATTCGATGATTCCATTCGATTCCATTCAATGATGATTCCTTTCAGGTCCATTAGATGATTCCATTAGATTCCATTTGATGATGACTCCATTAGAGTCCATTCTTTGATTCCATTCGATTCCATTCGATGATGATTCTATTGGAGTCCATTCGTTGATTCCATTCGATTCCATTCAATCATGATTCCATTCGAGTCCAATCGATGATTACAGTCAATTCCATTCGATGATGATTCCCCTCGTGTCCATTCGAATATTCCACTCGAGTCCGTTCGATGATTTCCTTAGATTCCATTCAATGATGATTCCACTCAATGCAATTCAGTGACTAAATTCGATTCCATTCGATGTTGTTTCCATTCAAGTCCATTTGATGATTCTATTCGATTCCATTCAATGATGATTCCATTCGTGTCCACTCGAAGATTCCATTCTATTCCATTCGATGATTATTCCATTAGACTCCATTCCATGATGATTCCATTCGATTTCATTCTGTGATTCTATTCATTTCCATTCGATGATGATTCCATTCTTTTCCAGTCGATGATTCCATTCGATGCCATTCGATGATTACATTCGATTACATTCGACGATGACTCCATTCTATTCCATTTGATGATTCCATTCGATTCCATTCGATGAGGATTCCATTTGATTCCATTCAATGATGATTCCATTCATGTCCATTCGATTGAATTACATTTCATTGCATTCGATGATGATTCCATTCGCGTCCATTAGATGATTCCATTTGATTCCATTCATTGATGATCCCATTCAGATTCCATTCGATGATTCCATTCAATTGCATTCAATGTTTCCATTCGATTCCATTCGATGATGATTCCCTTCGAGTCCATTAGAAGATTCCATAACATTCCATTCGATGGTGATTCCTTTCCATTTCATTCAATGATTACATTCGATTCCATTCGATGATGATTCCCTTGGATTCCATGAGATGATTTCATAACATTCCATTCGATGGTGATTCCTTTGGATTCCATTCGATGGTTATTCCATTTGATTCGTTTCGATTATTCCTTTCATGTCCATTCGATGACACCATTGAATTCCATTCGATGACTTCATTCGTATCCACTTGTTGATGATTCCTTTCGATTCCATTCGATGATGATTCCAGTCGATTCCCTTCATTGATGATTCGATTAGATTCCATTTGATGATGATTCCATTCGAGTCCATTCAATGAAGATTCCATTCAATTCCATTTGATGATGATTCCATTTGACTACATTCAATGATGATTCCATTCGATTCCATTCAAAGATTCAATTCGAGTCCATTCAATGATTAAATTCGATTCCATTTGATGATGATTCCTTTCAAGTCCATTCAATGATTCCATTCAATTCCATTCGATAATAATTCCTTACAAGTCCATTCAATGATTCCATTCAGTTGCATTCTATGATTCCATACGTTTTCATTCGATGATGATTCCATTTGAGTCCATTTGATGATTACATTAGATTCCATTCGAGCATAATTCCTTTCAAGTCCATTCGATGATTCCATTCAATTCCATTCCATGATGATTCCATTTGATTCCATTCAATGATGATTCCATTCGAGTCCATTCTACGATTCCTTTCTATTCCATTCGTTGATTCCATTCAATTCCATTCGATGATGATTGCATTCGACTACATTCGATGATTCCACTCGATTCCATCCGACGATTGGAGTCCATTCGGTGATTCCTTTACATTGCACTCAAAGACGATTCCATTCAATTCCATTCCATGATACCATTCGATTCCATTCATTGATGATTCCATTTGATTCCATTTGATGATTCCATTTTATTCCATTCGATGATGATTCCATTCCATTCCATTTGATGATTCCATTCCATTCCATCAGATGTTGATTCCATTCGTGTCCGCTTGATGATTCCATTCTTTTCCGTTCGACCATGATTCCATTCGATTCCATTCGATGATTCCATTCGAGTACATTCGATGATTCCATTCGAGTACATTCGATGATTCCACTCGATTCCATACGATGATTATTCCATTGGAGTCCATTTGGCGATTCCTTTAGTTTCCACTCGAAGATGATTCCGTTTGATTCCATTCGATTATACCATTCGATTCCATTCATTGATGATTCCATTCAAGTGCATTTGATGATACCATTCGATTCCATTCGATGATGATTCCATTCGTTTCCATTTGATTATTCCATTCTATTCCATTCAATGATGATACCATTAGTGTCAATTCGATGATTCCATTGGAGTCCATTTGATGATGATTCCATTCAGTGATTCCATTCAATTCTATTTGATAATGATTCCCATCGATTCCATTCGATGTTGATTCCATGGGATTCCATTCTATGATTTCTTTCGATTGCATTAGACAATGACTCCATTCGATTCCATTTGATGATTCCATTCGATTCTATTTGATGATGATTCCATTCGATTCCATTTGATGATGATTGCATTCTATTCAATTCGATGATGATTCCATTCGTGTCCATTAGATGATTCCATACGATTCCATTCGATGACGATTCCATTCTATTCCATTGAATGATGATTCCATTCGGGTCCATTATATGATTCCACTCGATTCCATTTGATGATGATTCCATTCTTCTCCATTCGATGATGATTACATTCAAGTCTATTCGATGATTCTATTAGAGTCCATTGAATGATTGCTTTTGATTCCATTCGATGCTGATTCCATTCCATTCCATTCCATTCCATTCCATTCGATGATGATTCCATTCGATACCATTCTATGATTCCTTTAGATTCCATTTCATGCTGATTCCATTCAATTTCATTGAAAGATTCTATTCGAATCCATTCAATGATGATTCCATTCGATTCCATTTGATGATTCCATTTGATTTCATTTGATGATGATTCCATTTGATTCCATTTGGTGATTCCATTCAATGATGGTTCCATTCGAGTCCATTCAATGATTCCTTTCTACTCTATTTGATGATGATTCCATGCGAGGTCATTCAATGTTGATTCCTTTGGATACCATTGCATGATTCCATTCGATTCTATTCAATGATGATTGCATTCGATTCCATTCGATGATTCCATTTGATTCCATCCAAAGATGATTCCATTCGATTCCATTTGATAATTCCATGCGATTCCATTCGATCGTTCCAATGGATTCCATTTGATGATGATTCTATTTGTGTCCATTCGATGATTCCATTGAATTCCATACGATGATGATTCCATTCGAGTGAATTCGATGTTTGGAATCAATTCCATTCAATGATGCTTCCATTCGAGGCTGTCTGATGACTCTATTCATTTCCATTCTACAATGATTCCCTTTGAGTCCTTTTGAAGATTTGATTCGAGTCCTTTCGATGATCTCGTTCGATTCCATTCGAGGATGATTCCGTTCGAGTCCATTTGACGCGTCCCTTCGAGGACATTTGATGAGTCCATTCGAGTCCAACTGATGATTCCATTCAATTCCATTCTGTGATGTTTCCGTATGATTCCATTCGATGATGATTCCATGTGTTTCCTTTCAATGATGATTCATTTTAATTGCATTTGATTATGATTCATTTCCAGTTCATTCGACGATTCCACATGATTCCATTCGATGATATTTCCATTCGAGTGTATTTGATGATTCCTTTCGATTCCATTAGAAGATGATTCCATTTGATTCCGTTCATTGGTGATCCCATTCAATTCCATTCAACGATTCCATTCCATTCCATTCAACAATGATTCCATTTGATTCCATTTGATGATTCCTTCCGCTTGATTCGATTTGATGATGATTCCATTCGATTCCATTCGATGGTGATTGCCTTCAATTCCATTCGATGATTCCATTCGATTCCATTCGATGACGATTCGGTTTGATTCCATTTGATGATTCCATTCGAGTCCATTCGATGATTCCATTCGATTCCATTTGATGATGATTCCATTTGAGTCCATTCGATGATTCCATTCGAGTCTATTCAATGATTCCATTCATTCGAGTCTATTTGATGATTCCATTCGATTCCATTTTATGATTATTCCATTCGTGTCCATTATATGATTCCATTCGAGTCCATTCAATAATTCCATTCAATTCCTTTCGATGATTCCATTCGATTCTATTTGATGTTTCCATTCGAGTCCATTTGTTCATTCATTCGTGTCCATTCGATGACTCCATTCGATTACATTTGATGATGATCCCATTTGATGATGATTCCATTGGAGTCCATTTGATGACTCCATTTGATTCCATTCGATGTTGATTCCATTCGTGTCCATTCAATGTTTTTGTTCTATTCCACTCAATGAGGATTCCCTTCAAATCCATTTGATGATTGTATTCAAGTCCATTCAGTGATTGCTTTCGATTCCATTCGATATTGATTCCCTTTGATTCCATTCGATGAGGATTCCATTCGATGTCATTCTAGGATTCCATTCGATTCCATTTGATGTTGATTGCATTTGATTCCATTTGATTATTCTATTCGATAATTTTGATGACGATTCCATTCGATTCCATTCAGTGATTCCAGTTCATTACAGTTGATGATGATTCCTTTCGATTCCATTCGATGATTCCAATTGATTCCAATCGATGATGATTCCATTCGAGTCCATTCGATGATTCCATTCGATTCCATTCAATGATGATTCCATTCGAGTCCATTCAATGGTGATTCCATTGGATTCCATTCGGTGATGCCATTCGATTCCGTTCGATGAAAGCATTCGATTCCATTTGATGATTCCCTTCGATTCCATTCAAAGTTTATTCCATTCGAGTCCATTTGATAATTCCATTCGATTCCATTCTCCGAGGATTCCACTGGAGTCCGTTCGATGATTCCATTCAATTCCAGTTGATGATGATTCCATTCGAGTCCATTCAATGATTTCATTGGATTCCATTTGATGATGACTCCTTCCGGTTCCATTCCATGATGATTCCATTCGGTTCCATTAGATAGTGATTCCATTCAAGTCCATTCGATGATTCCATTCGATTCCATTCGATGATGATTCCATTCCGGTCCATTCGATGTTTCCTTTCGATTAAACTTGATGTTGATTCCATTTGAGTCCATTTGATTATTCCCTTTGACTGCATTCCATGATTCCTTTCGATTCCATTTGATATTGCTTCCATTCGAGTCCATTCGATGATTCCATTCGATTTCATTCAATGATGATTCGATTCAATTCCGTCCGATGATTCCATTTGACTCCATTCGATGACAACTCCATTCGAGTCCATTCGATGATTCCTTTCGAGTCCATTTGATGATTCTATTTGGTTCCATTCGATGATGATTCCTTTGAATTCCATTCGTTGGTGATTCCATTCGATTCCATTCGATGATGATTCCATTCGATTGCATTCGATGATGATTCCATTCGGTTTCATTCGATGATTCCATTCAATTCCTTTCTATGATTATTCAATTCTTTTCCATTTGATGATTCCATGTGATTCCATTTGATGATGATTCCATTCGTTTGCATTCGATGATGATTCCATTCAGGTCCATTCAAAGATTCCATTCGATTCCATTCTATGATGATTGCATTCGAGTTCATTTGATGATTCCATTCGACTCCATTCGATGATGACTCCATTCGTTGATATTCAATGATTCCATTCGATTCCATTTGCTGATGATTCCATTCGACTCCATTCAACGATTCCATTCGATTCCATTCAATGAGGATTCCATTCGAGTCCTTTTGATGATTCTGTTCAATTCCATTCGATGATGATTCCTCTCAAATCCATTTGATGATTCCATTCGAGTACATTCGATTATTCCATTTGATTTTATTCGATGACGATTCCATTCGATGCCATTCGATGATTCCATTCGATTCCATTCAATGGTGATTCCATTCGATGCCATTGGATGATTCCATTCAATCCTATTTGATGATGATTCCATTCCTGTCCATTCGATGATTCCGTTCGTTTCCATTCGATGATGATTCCATTTGAATCCATTCGATGATTCCTATCGATTCCATTCGATGACTCCGTTCAATCCCATTCGATGTTTCCCTTCGATTGTCTTTGATGATCATTCCATTCGATTCAATTTTGTGATTCCATTCCATGATGATTCCGTTCGATTCCATTCGATGAGGATTCCATTCGATTCCATTTGATGATGATTCCATTCGATTCCATTTGACTATGTTTCCATTCGAGTCCATTTGATGATTCCATTCGATTCCATTTGATGATGATTCCACTCAAGCCCATTCGATTATTCCATTCGAGTCCATTCAATGATTCCATTAGATTCCATTCGATGATGATTCCATTCGAGTCCATTCGATGATTCCATTCCATTCCATTCAATGATGATTCCTTTCAGGTCCATTAGATGATTCTATTAGATTCCATTTGATGATGACTCCATTAGAGTCCATTCTTTGATTTCGATTCCATTCGATGATGATTCTATTCGAGTCCATTCGTTGATTCCATTCGATTCCATTCAATGATGATTCTATTCGAGTCCAATCGATGATTACAGTCGATTCCATTCGATGATGATTCCCCTCGAGTCCATTCGATGATTCCACTCGAGTCCGTTCGATGATTTCCTTAGACTCCATTCAATGATGATTCCACTCAATGCAATTCAATGACTAAATTCGATTCCATTCGATGTTGTTTCCATTCAAGTCCATATGATGATTCTATTCGATTCCATTCAATGATGATTCCATTCGTGTCCACTCGATGATTCCATTCTATTCCATTCGATGATTATTCCATTAGACTCCATTCGATGATGATTCCATTCGATTTCATTCTGTGATTCTATTCATTTCCATTCGATGATGATTCCATTCTTTTCCAGTCGATGATTCCATTCGATGCCATTCGATGATGATTGCCTTCCAGTCCATTAGAAGATTCCATAACATTCCATTCGATGGTGATTCCTTTCCTTTTCATTCAATGATTCCATTCGATTCCATTCGATGATGATTCCCTTCGATTCCATGAGATGATTTCATAACATTCCATTCGATCGTGATTCCATTGGATTCCATTCGATGGTGATTCCATTTGATTCCATTCGATGATTCCTTTCGTGTCCATTCGATGACACCATTGGATTCCATTCAATGATTTCATTCGTTTCCACTTGTTGATGATTCCATTCGATTCCATTCGATGATGCTTCCATTCGATTCCCTTCATTGATGATTCGATTAGATTCCAATTGATGATGATTCCTTTCGAGTCGATTCAATGAAGATTCCATTCAATTCCATTTGATGATGATTCCATTTGACTCCATTCAATGATGATTCCATTCGATTCCATTCGATTCCATTCAAAGATTCAATTCGAGTCCATTCAATGATTCCATTCGATTCCACTTGATGATGATTCCTTTCAAGTCCATTCAATGATTCCATTCAATTCCATTCCATAATAATTCCTTTCAAGTCCACTCAATGATTCCATTCAGTTGCATTCGATGATTCCATATGATTTCATTCGATGATGATTCCATTTGAGTCCATTTGATGATTCCATTAGATTCCATTCGAGCACAATTCCTTTCGAGTCCATTCGATAATTCCATTCAATTCCATTCCATGATGATTCCATTTGATTCCATTCAATGATGATTCCATTCGCGTCCCTTCTACGATTCCTTTCTATTCCATTCGTTGATTCCATTCAGTTCCATTCGATGATGATTGCATTCAACTACACTCGATGATTCCACTTTATTCCATCCGATGATTGGAGTCCATTCGGTGATTCCTTTAGATTCCACTCAAAGACGATTCCATTCAATTCCATTCCATGATACCATTTGATTCCATTCATTGATGATTCCATTTGATTCCGTTTGATGATTCCATTTGATTCCATTCGATGATGATTCCATTCCATTCCATTTGATGATTCCATTCCATTCCATTAGATGTTGATTCCATTCGTGTCCACTTGATGATTCCCTTATTTTCCGTTCGACCATGATTCCATTCGATTCCATTCGATGATTCCATTCGATTCCATTCGATGATGATTCCATTCGTTTCCATTTGATTATTCCATTCTATTCCATTCAGTGATGATTCCATTAGAGTCAATTCGATGATTCCGTTGGAGTCCATTTGATGAGGATTCCATTCAGTGATTCCATTCAATTCTATTTGATAATGATTCCAATCGATTCCATTCTATGTTGATTCCATGGGATTCCATTCTATGATTTCATTCGATTGCATTAGACAATGACTCCATTCGATTCCATTTGATGATTCCATTCGATTCTATTTGATGATGATTCCATTCGATTCCATTTGATGATGATTGCATTCTATTCAATTCGATGATGATTCCATTCGTGTCCATTAGATGATTCCATACGATTCCATTCGATGACGATTCCATTTGATTCCATTCGATGATGATTCCATTCGTGTCCATTCGATGATTCCATTCTTCTCCACTCGATGATGATTACATTCAAGTCTATTCGCTGATTCTATTAGAGTCCATTGAATGATTGCTTTTGATTCCATTCGATGCTGATTCCATTCCATTCCATTCCATTCCATTCCATTCGATGATGATTCCATTCGATACCATTCTATGATTCCTTTAGATTCCATTTCATGCTGATTCCATTCAATTTCATTCAAAGATTCTATTCGAATCCATTCAATGATGATTCCATTCGATTCCATTTGATGATTCCATTTGATTTCATTTGATGATGATTCCATTTGATTCCATTTGGTGATTCCATTCAATGATGGATCCATTCCAGTCCATTCAATGATTCCTTTCTACTCTATATGATGATGATTCCATGCGAGGGCATTCAATGGTGATTCCTTTGGATACCATTCGATGATTCCATTCGATTCCATTCAATGATGATTGCATTCGATTCCATTCGATGATTCCATTGGATTCCATTCAAAGATGATTCCATTCGATTCCATTTGATAATTCCATGCGATTCCATTTGATCGTTCCAATGGATTCCATTTGATGATGATTCCATTTGTGTCCATTCGGTGATTCCATTCAATTGCATCAGATGATCATTCCATTCGAGTGAATTCGATGTTTCCAATCAATTCCATTCAATGATGCTTCCATTCGAGGCTGTCTGATGACTCTATTCATTTCCATTCTACAATGATTCCCTTTGAGTCCTTTTGAAGATTTGATTCGAGTCCTTTTGATGATCCCGTTCGATTCCATTCGATGATGATTCCGTTCGAGTCCATTTGACGCGTCCCTTGGAGTACATTTGATGATTCCATTCGAGTCTAGCTGATGATTCCATTCAATTCCATTCTGTGATGTTTCCGTATGATTCCATTCGATGATGATAACATGTGATTCCTTTCGATGATGATTCATTTTAATTGCGTTTGATTATGATTCATTTCCAGTTCATTCGATGATTCCACATGATTCCATTCGATGATGATTCCATTCGAGTGTATTTGATGATTCCTTACGATTCCATTAGAAGATGATTCCATTTGATTCCGTTCATTGGTGATCCCATTCAATTCCATTCAATGATTCCATTCCATTCCATTCAACAATGATTCCTTTTGATTCCATTTGATGATTCCTTCCACTTGATTCCATTTGTTGATGATTCCATTCGATTCCATTCGATGATGATTGCCTTCAATTCCATTCGATGATTCCATTCGATTCCATTCGATGACGATTCGGTTTGATTCCATGGGATGATTCCATTCGAGTCCATTCGATGATTCCATTCGATTCCATTTGATGATGATTCCATTTGAGTCCATTCGATGATTCCATTCGAGTCCATTCAATGATTCCATTCATTCGTGTCCTTTAGATGATTCCATTCGAGTCCATTCAATCATTGCATTCAATTCCTTTCGATGATTCCATTCGATTCTATTTGATGTTTCCATTCGAGTCCATTTGTTCATTCATTCGTGTCCATTCGATGACTCCATTCGATTCCATTTGATGATGATCCCATTTGATGATGATTCCATTCGAGTCCATTTGATGACTCCATTTGATTCCATTCGATGATGATTCCATTCGTGTCCATTCAATGTTTTTGTTCTATTCCATTCAATGAGTATTCCCTTCAAATCCATTTGATGATTGTATTCAAGTCCATTCAGTGATTGCTTTCGATTCCATTCGATATTGATTCCCTTTGATTCCATTCGATGAGGATTCCATTCGATGTCATTCTAGGATTCCATTCGATTCCACTTGATGTTGATTGCATTTGATTCCATTTGATTATTCTATTCGAATATTTTTGATGACGATTCCATTCGATTCAATTCAGTGATTCCTGTTCATTACAGTTGATGATGATTCCTTTCGATTCCTTTCGATGATTCCATTTGATTCCAATCGATGATGTTTCCATTCGAGTCCATTCGATGATTCCATTCGATTCCATTCAATGATGATTCCATTCGAGTCCATTCAATGGTGATTCCATTGGATTCCATTCGATGATTCCATTCGATTCCGTTCGATGATTGCATTCGATTCCATTTGATGATTCCCTTCGTTTCCATTCAAAGTTTATTCCATTCGAGTCCGTTTGATAATTCCATTCGATTCCATTCTCCGATGATTCCATTCGAGACCGTTCGATGATTCCATTCAATTCCCGTTGACGATGATTCCATTCGAGTCCATTCAATGATTTCATTGGATTCCATTTGATGATGACTCCTTCCGGTTCCATTCCATGATGATTCCATTCGGTTCCATTAGATAGTGATTCCATTCAAGTCCATTCGATGATTCCATTCGATTCCATTCGATGATGATTCCGTTCCGGTCCATTCGATGATTCCTTTCGATTCCACTTGATGTTGATTCCATTTGAGTCCATTTGATTGTTCCCTTTGAATGCATTCCATGATTCCTTTCGATTCCATTTGATATTGCTTCCATTCGAGTCCATTCGATGATTCCATTTGATTTCATTCAATGATGATTCGATTCAATTCCGTTCGATGATTCCATTTGATTCCATTCGATGACAACTCCATTCGAGTCCATTCGATGATTCCTTTCGAGTCCATTTGATGATTCTATTTGGTTCCATTCGATGATGATTCCTTTCAATTCCATTCGTTGGTGATTCCATTCGATTCCATTCGATGATGATTCCATTCAATTGCATTCGATGATGATTCCATTCGATTCCATTCGATGAAGATTCCATGCGGTTTCATTCGATGATTCTATTCAATTCCTTTCTATGATTATTCAATTCTTTTCCATTTGATGATTCCATGTGATTCCATTTGATGATGATTCCATTCGTTTGCATTCGATGATGATTCCATTCAGGTCCATTCAAAGATTCCATTGGATTCCATTCTATGATGATTGCATTCGAGTTCATTTGATGATTCCATTCGACTCCATTCGATGATGATTTCATTCGTTGATCTTCAATGATTCCATTCGATTCTATTTGCTGATGATTCCATTCGACTCCATTCAATGATTCCATTCGATTCCATTCAATGAGGATTCCATTCGAGTCCATTTGATGATTCTGTTCAATTCCATTCGATGATGATTCCTCTCAAATCCATTTGATGATTCCATTCGAGTACATTCGATTATTCCATTTGATTTTATTCGATGATGATTCCATTCGATGCCATTCGATGATTCCGTTCGATTCCATTCAATGGTGATTCCATTCGATGCCATTCGATGATTCCATTCAATCCTATTTGATGATGATTCCATCCGTGTCCATTCGATGATTCCGTTCGTTTCCATTCGATGATGATTCCATTTGAATCCATTCGATGATTCCTATCGATTCCATTCGATGACTCCGTTCAATCCCATTCGATGTTTCCCTTCGATTGTCTTTGATGATCATTCCATTCGATTCAATTTGGTGATTCCATTCGATGATGATTCCGTTCGATTCCATTCGATGAGGATTCCATTCGATTCCATTTGATGATGATTCCAATCGATTCCATTTGACGATGATTCCATTCGAGTCCATTTGATGATTCCATTCGATTCCATTTGATGATGATTCCACTCAAGCCCATTCGATTATTCCATTCGAGTCTATTCAATGATTCCAGTAGATTCCACTCGATGATGATTCCATTGGATTCCATTCAATGATGATTCTATTCATGTCCATTCGATGATTCCATTGTATTCCATTTAATGATGATTCCATTCGAGTCTATTCCATGATTCCATTCAATTCCATTCACTGATGAATCCATCCGAATCCATTCGATGATTCCATTCGTTTCCCTTCGATGATTCCATTTGATCCCATTCGATGATTCCCTTCAATTCCTTTCGGTGATCTTTCCATTCGATTCAATTCATTGATTCAATTTGATTCCATACGATGATGATTCCATTCGATTCCATTTGATGATGATTCCATTTGATTCCATTTGATCATGAGTCCATTCGATTCCATTTGCTGATTACTGTGTTCGGTTCCATTTAATGATGATTCCTTTCAGTTCCATTTGATGATGGTTCCTTTAGATTCCATTCGATGATTCCATTCGATTACTTTTGTTGATGATTCCATTCGATTCCCTTCAATGATGATTTCATTCGATTCCATTTGATGATGATTCCATTCGATTCCATTCAGTGATTATTCCATCTGATTCCATTCGATGATTATTCCATCCGATTCCATTCGATGATTATTCCATTCAAGTCCTTTGGATGATGATGCCTTTTGATTCCATTCAATGATGACTCCATTCGTTTCCATTCGATGGTGTTTCCACTTGATTCCATTCGATGATATTTCCATTCTATTCCATTCGATGATGATTCCATTCCATTCCATTCCACTACATTCCATTACATCTGATTCCATTCCACTCCATTCCACTCCTCTCCTCTCCACTCCACTCCCTTGCTTTCCATTCCATTCCTTTCTTTCGAGAGTGGCTCATTGTTTCACCCATTGTGTAACACAATGGCACAATCTCATCTCCCATTCCATTCAATTCCTCTCCATTCAATTCCATTTGATTCCATTCCATTCCATTCCATTCCATTCCATTCCATTCTATTCCATTCCATTCCATTCCATTCCATTCTATTCCATTCCTTTCCTTTCCATTCGAAGAAGAAAAGGTGTTGCAAAGTCATACTCACTTTTCTGCACTTGTCATACAATTAAGATTTCTTTGAGTACTTCAGCCCTAATAATTTTCGTTTTATCATACATATTGCAGTGCTTATCTAATTTTAAATATATTTTTGTTTCAACATCCAGTTTCTTATTTGTTCTATCTGTTTGTTTACAATAAATTTTACTCTGTGTTCATTCTTTGATTTCAGAACTTCAACCTTTCTGAAGCATATTTTCAGAGTTTCTCTTTAGTTTCTTTAGTGGAATTCTGCTGGTGGCGTTTTGTTTTTTTCTCTAAATATGTTATTTAGCCACAGGTTGATGAATATTTTTCTTCGTTTAGAAATTCAGAATGGCATTATTATTCTGAACAAATAATATTGTTTATTTTACCTTTCATTTTTTCAGATTTCGGTATGATTAAAAGTAATTTCATTTTTCTAGTGGTAATTGAAATATTTTTCCCTTCATGGGTGTTTACTATTTCTCTAGGAGATACATAGGTGTAGGTGTATCTCCATTGTAGCTTGCTTAGCATGCATGGAGTTTTTGAATATGCAGATCAGTGTCTTACAAAAGTCTAGGGAACTTTCAGACAAAATACCAACACATATTGTCCCTTCCCAGTTCCCTTGTTCTATGAGAACGCTCTCTAAACACATGCTACACTTTCTCACTGTATCTTCCATGTCTCTTCATCATTCTGTCCACATTTTACATTTTTCAAAATTTTCTGTAATGCATTCTGAAATATTTATGAACTCTCACCTTGGCCATGTCTAATCTGATGAATTCATTTTTGAGTTTTTAATTTAAAATAACTACATTTTTATACAAACTTCTTTTCAAATTTGCTACATGAATTTTTTAGTCTCCTAACAATATATTCATTTTTTAAAAAATTTTTTGTAAGCAAATGTGCTTTGTAATCTAACAGTGATATTTCTACTAATGAACCTTTGTGGATCTGTTTGTAGTCTTTTTCTGCTTTCCTTTCAAATGGTGGAATATCATTTCCTTGCATGCTTAGATGTCTTTGAATGACAAATATTTATTTTTCTCTGAAAATTATTTTTGTGCACTTTTGCAGATTAATAAGTAGAAAATTTGCCAAAGAGAAGTTGAATTTTTTTGTGATTCTACTAAAGGCACCACCATTCTGGGACCACATTATGTTAATTCTTGGCCTAAAGGTGTTCGGACATATGTTTGGACTGCACATTTAAACAATTTTTAAATTAGTTGCTGTTAATCATTAATGATTGAGTTTCTTTAAATCCGTCCAATCTCAAATCATTTTTATTTGCCATTTCCAGGGAATGTGAAATGGGACTAATTTACCTCTGATCTTCCTTATACTGAGGATAGAAATGTTGGTCTTAGCTGTAGGGAGGAGCTCCTGTGTGATGCCCTATCTTGGGAAAATCTATGTATTTTTTTACTGTCCTATGTAATGTATGACAATAGGAATCTGCACTCATTCATTTTGCTACATGTCCGTAGGGAAAAATCAGTTTCCGTGTTTAGTTATATTTTGTCTGCTCCCTGCATTCCCATGGTTTTGACCTTATATTTTACTTTTATGTGTGAACATACCAGTGCTTCAAATTTTTTCCAGTAATATATTCAACTATATTATGAGAAAGAGAAAAATTTTGATAAAACACAAATTTCATGTTTTCCCTCTGTAATTGGCTTTTACTTCAAAATACAGGTAAAATTTATTTGTGCTTTTTTTGCTATTTCTGTTTTGCTATTCTCTGTCTATGTCTTCTCCACATAGACACAATTAGGGAATTTTGTACCCTCTTGTGCCAACTGCTTTGATAGTAACAAAATGTATTTCTGGAACTCCTAGGTATAAAACTCAAGTATCCACAATTTAAATTCTTTTTTGCTCATTTCTATTATGTTTCCAGTCTCAATAGAAATCGATGACAATCCAGAAATACAAGCATTATTCTAATACTTCTCACACATTACAGGTATAGATTAAATTTTCTAGATCTCCTTAAATACTATCATTTTTCACTACTTGTATCTTAACTGTTAAGTTCAACATTTTCTATAATATTAATATGTTGTGAAAATTTCCTTACTTTCTTGTTTGTCCCAAGTTCAAGGTTTTGCAGTCTCTACCTCACCCTGTGAAGCATAAACATTGTACTATGCTGTACAAATATTACATAGTTCATGTGCTTAGAGATTGCACAATTTTTGTTTGGTTGACAATAGCTAATGTTTTCTTCTTCATTTTCTATTTCCTGATTTTTCTTTATTTAGTATATGCTACATTATTATAAACATAAGAACGTTTTACAAACTAAAGCAAAAGAAACCCTAGGAAAAAAATGCACAAATAAAATATATAAACATACAATTAGATGTACCATGTACCCTTCTAATTTATTTAGACATTTAATTGTAGTACAATTTTAATTAAAGTCTGTGTATTATCTGCCATCGTCTTAGTATTTTTTATATAACAAATTGTGTAAATCAAAAAGCCTCAATGTCATTATAAACTATCTTGGCAGAGGTTGATGTCCAAGGAATAATTTCTCTCCCAAATTATGTCAATCAGAATTTCACTCTACCATAATTCTTTTAATCAGTTTCAGAGGAATCATCAATTTCAAAATTGTTCAAGGTTGTTGTTGTAGTTCAAGTACATTTTGACAGGTGTAAAACTGTAGACAGACTGATACAAACATATTCTATTTGACACAAAAGTATATGGGTCCTTTTTTAAATTCTAGACTTTAAAATGTCGTGTCAACGTACACATGTTCTCCTTGTGAAATAATTGCTTTTTATTCTCTGGATAGAATAATTTAATCTTTAAACCTTCAATTCACTGTTAAAAACAAAATATTACCTAAGGATATGCATATAAAAATAATTCACAGCTAGCTTTTCAATTCAGAAATATATGTGAGAAATCATCAAGCATCTAATGGATTTCAAGGAGAAATGGGTTAGTAATTTATTCCATATGTCTCAATTTTTCCTAGATTCAAGGCTTCCTTTAAAATAATTGTAGGCGTTTAAGAAACCATGTAAACTAAAAAGAAGAAATTGTGACACTGCCACTTAGGTTTTTTAAATCTTTTGACATGAATCAATATACTTTTTAATTTTATCTTAATTAGACATTGTGAGTTCACCATCTTCCTGTCAGTACAGCATCCAAGCTGATTATCATAGATTACAAGTTACACTATCAACTGTATTCTGAGACTCTTAAAAAAAAATGAGTGTTTTTGTTTGGGTATTCTTAAAGCAGGAGTGAGGACACAGCGAAAGTGAGACAAGGAAGAGAGAACAAAATAAAACAGGAAAGATAGAAAAGCCAGTACCACACGTGTTAAGAGGCAAGTTCCTGTGTTAGATATCGGGGCTTAATTCTATGGGAAGCTATGTGGAACATGCCTCAGAATTACATCACTGAATCCAGGGAGATTCTTCTTAGTTATCCTCACCTTTTCTTCCCACTTGCCCAGTATCAAGCTCCCATGCTGCTAGAGAAAGTCCTCAGCTAGAAACAGCTGCAAATTCTGGAGATGAGACCTTGTAGAGTGTTAAGAGTGGTTTTCTTCCCAGCAGCTACAGGTAAGGAATAGGGGCTGGGCTATTAATACATCTGCTACAAATCAATATACCCCTTATGCTCCTTTTGGTGATCAACAATGTATTTGAAAATATTAGATGATCAAGAAGGGCTGCAGAAAGCAGGAAACAGAAACAAACAGCACACCTCTTGGTTTATTTTTATTCATTTCATCAGTTTCAAGGAAAATGTGTTGGGAGTTCCTGGCATAGAGAATGTCACAAAGATATGTTTTCAATAGTGGTGCTATCCCTAGGGCAGAGAAGATCCAGAGAAAGCACAAGTGGCTGCGGGAACAAAGTCAGACACCGTGCCACCTGTCCACACTCCTTGGTTCTGCCATCATGCTGAAGATTGGTTTAAAGGGCTGGCTTCCCTTCCCACAAAATTAAAAGAGCACAGACTGAGAAACTGAATGCGGGAGACAGCAGTGGATTATGCTGTTCTCAGGGGTCACCTCAGCTTTGGAAGCATTCTTTCAAATTAACCCATCTCAGGCCATCTGCAGAGAAGAAAGGTGATACCTAACTTTTTTTCTTGTCAGCCCTTGGTAGGGGTGTTTTGTTGACCAAATATGTTCCCACAACCTAGTTTCTTGTAACTAACTAAATATAGTAGATTTTTAAATGTTATCATGAAAATCTACAGACAATTTTTTATTAAAATAGGCTCCACATCTATGTCCTCCTTTTCTTCTTATTAATTACATTGCTGTATAAAAGAACAAGACTTCAGAATCAAGAATATCTTGTCTCTTGGCATTGAATTTTTACAAGGTGCTCTTTCTTTAATGCTGTCTCAAAGCACATATTTGTACTCATTAAAAAGGAAGATCAGAATCTAGTTGTATGCACTGCTCCAACATATTAATAATTAAAATTAGGAGGTA
Organism: Homo sapiens; assembly: GCF_000001405.40. Taxonomy (NCBI): domain Eukaryota; kingdom Metazoa; phylum Chordata; class Mammalia; order Primates; family Hominidae; genus Homo; species Homo sapiens. Next base: position 186,683 of record NT_187648.1, on the reverse strand, counting down.
AATGTGGTCAAAGCTATAGAAAGACTTGAGATGTCATTTATATTGATTACTGTATAGCACTCTACAAACAGAAATTGTTAAATAATAGTTTATATAAATATTTTGTAGCATTTCAAATATTTGAGTGCCTGAAATTTCTCCTCCAATATAGTCCAGATTATCAATTTGAAGACTTACTCCGCTGGTTAAAAAGTTTTTAGTCGCGTTTGAGTATTATATAAAAGCAATTTTCAGTTAAATGTGTTCCACTTACATAAAACATTACAAATTAGTGAGTATTTAATTACATTTTCGTGTTCCTGTAATGCCTTTAGAAGATTTTCATATTATTACCTATCAATATATGTATGCTTTTTCTAAGAAAAATCAATCATATACATCATTGAAATTGAAACTTTTTTAAAGTACTTATTAATTCTATTGAAAAACCACATCCATAGGAGCAATTACAATATAATATTGTGAACATGTAAATATATATCCTGTCTATTTTATATATAAGCATATGTGATTAAAACTATAGTTCAGAATTTTTAAACCTAGTATTATAAAGTAAAAATTAGTTAAACTTCTGATGATTATTTGTTAATTAAGATAAAATTATTTTGATTTGGGTGATTTTAAATGAACAAAAATATTAAATTACATGACAAAAATTCTTTATAAAATGTTTACGATTTTTACATTGGTTTTATCACTTTATTCCACTATTTTATTTTAAGATGACCTGCCTTGTTTAAAACACTGTATTCATCTTAATTAAATTAAATTCCATTTGTAAAAAAATTAACAAATGATTTGCTCTATTATACAGTGAGGTTATAAACTGAGTCAGTATCTCAAGATTTGATCCCCATTATCGTCATCCGTGGCCCTATTTGTTTGATAAATGTAGTGTCTTTTTCCATGCCTGTCACATCTCTATTGCTCATTTATTTTTCTCCTTGTCCCTTATAGGGAGCATTGCCTATCTCTAGATTAAGCAAAAGTTGCATCTTAAAAAAGCACAATAACCTGCTCAATCTTTCTCACACAGAGAAATGTTTGTTAAGTAATTAAATTGTAGATGATGATACAAAGAGCTTGATTAAATAAGATGCCAAAGTACCCTTGTGATTCAGAATAGGAATGATATTTAATGCCTTTGAAATCAATAATTGCTGAGTGACATTAATTAATGCCAATATTTCAGAAGTTGTTCTGGTTTGTGAAATGTGTACAACATGTAAAAGTTTCCGAACTCTGAAGGGCAACATTATTCTATCATTAAGAATTAAGAATTAATTCACATTAATTATTGGGGAGAAATAATTTTAAGAATTAATGACTGAGAAAACCTTTTTTTTTTATTTAGGAAATTATTTTGTGCATGAGCATTACTGCAAGTTTTGCAAGAAACTTAAAATTATAGAAACAATTATGTGCACAAGATGAATTTAATAACATCTTGATATTTTCCACTAATACAGTTGTATTTGGTAAATCTTTAAATGCCCATCATCTAAAGATAATAAATGAATCTTGGAAATCTTGAAGGTAAAGGTAAATATAAGGATGCATCCAATTACATTTACACACACATAAAATTACATTTACACAAACATACATGCACACACGCTCACTGATACAGGTAAGCATATATATACATGAATTTACCAATTGATTTTAGCTAATATTTATAAGAGCCTGTAGGATTGATATATATTGTTGAACCTGAAAAATATTTATTATATACATGGTTAAAATACACAAAGAAATAAATAGTAATTGCACTAGGCATTTGAAACTGTACTTAAATATAAGCTGTGAACATTTTGTGATCATTACAAATTCTTACACTGAAGATTTTTATTTTTATAATAATATGTTTGATACATGTGTACATTTTTTAAAATGTATTATTTTTGTCATAGAGTCATGTCATGTATAATAACATTTCAGTCAAAGATGGATTACATATACAAAAGTGGTCCCATGAGATTATAATACATATTTTTACATTCTTTTCTATGTTTAAGTATGTTTAGATACATAAACTCTTACCACTGTGTTCTTATTGCCTGCAGTATTCAGTATAGTAATGTAGTACACAGGTTTGTAGCCTAGGGGAGAGAGGCTATACCATATAACCTAAACGTGGTAGGCTGTACAAACTAGGTGTTTGTAATATTCTCTCTGACGTTGGCAAAATGATGAAATTGCCTATGGATGCATCTGTTAGAACGTATCCCTGTCATTCAGTGATGCGTGACTGTGCTAAAATGCTAAATCTAAGTTTCAATGACCTCCATAAAATCGTTGTACTTTGAAATACAAATCTCTCACCTATGGCCTGAATATCTTTGCAAAGTAAGCAGATCATGGGAAGGAGAATGTGCTGGCATCGCTGGGATGATTTTCTCACACTTCATGAATAATATCTCCAGACTTTGAGAATATGAGCCACTTGCATAGAGTTAAAGTAAACATCTCTTTGCTGGGAAATTTATCAAATGGGAGTATGAAGTCTTTTTAAAAGATACTTGTTTGTTTGTAGATGGTAGGCCTACAGTGGCTCATGGCAATGGTTGAGGTTGCTAAGATCTGGTGGAAGGAGGCAAAATGAAATGGCCACTTATATGGTATATGGATCACTTGTTTCTGTTGAGTTACAGATTCAGCTGGCTATTTCTCCCAATGTTAGTTATTTGGAGAAAAAACCATGATGGTAATTTTGGGGTAACAAATACAATATTTGATGAAAACAAATTTATTGAGGGTTAGACAAACTACAAGATAATTTAGGCTGCAAAGTCAACACGAGACTTCTGCCCCAAATTGTGCAGAGTTTGGGTCCAGCTGCAAAGTTCAAAGGAAGAGGCCATATAAGATGATTTGCACTTTTGTCACCAATTGCCAGTTCAGGGGTTTCCCAAGAACACCCTCAGTTTCAAGAATTTACTAAAAAGACTCACAAAAGTCATTGAATGCCATTGTACTCATGGTTTATAATAGAGAAAGGGTAGAAATTAGGACCAATCAAAGGAAGAGACATATCACATAAGGTGGAATCTAGGAGGATTTTGAATGTTAAATTTCCATTGTCTTCAGGACATATTACCTGTCATTGTTGTACAGCAATAAACATGGAGTACTACCAACCTGGGGAGCTCACCTGATGCTAAAAAGACACTATTTCGAAAATGAAAAGACAAAGGAAAGGATGAGATAAGATAACCTTCCACATTAAGGCACTGGAAAGAATAGCAAACTAAACCTAAAGCAAGCAGAAGGAAGAAAATAAAAATTAGAGAAATTAATAATTTATAATATTAATCATATTTGTTAGTATTGACTAATTAATATTAATTCTTGACTGACTTTTTTAAAAAAGAGAAATATTCACTTCCCAATTTATTCTATGGGGCCAGTGTTACCTTGATACAAAAATTAGTCCAAATAGCATAGAAAAATAAAACTACTATAAGTATAAATGCAAAATTCCTTAAAAACTACTAACAAATCAGATCTAGCAACATATACAAGAATTATACACTATGACAAAGTGAAATTTATACTAGTAATCTCAGGTTGGTTTAACAGCCCAAAATCCATTAAGGTAATACATCTTATCCATAGAATAAGAAACAAGAATTGCATGATCATGTCGATAGATTCAGAAAAGACATTTAACAAAATCCAAATGCTTTAATGATTAAAAATAAAAATAAAAACTCAATGAACCAGGAATAGAGAACTTTCTACACCAGATACATGGCACCTGTGAAAAGCCAACAGCAAGAATGCAACTTAATGGTAAAGGATGCTTTCCCGCTATGGTCAGAGATAGGAATAAGATATATACTTTGAGCTCTTCTAGTCAACACTGTACTAAAGATTTTATGCAGGGCAAGTCGGCAACTAAAAAAAAAGAGTCAACCATATTGAACAGGAAGAAATAAAACTTTATTTGAAAATAATATTCTTGTATATAGAAAATTTTAAGGAATTCACTGAACAATAGAACTAGTAAATTATTTCAGCAATATTACAGCATACAAGATAAATCTACAAAAATCAATTGCACACATCTACAATGAAAACCCAAAAATGAAATTAAGAAAACACTTCAATTTAAAATAGCATCAAAAAAAGAAATAATAATTAATTTGGAAAATGTGATACAAGATTTTACTCGGAAAATTAAAAATTATTGTTTAAAGAAGATCTAAATAATTAGCAAATATCTTACAGCCATGAATTGGAAGATTTAATATTGTAGTACTTTCAAGTTGAACTACAGATTTGACGTAATCCCTGCAAGTATCCCAACAGACTTCTGTCTAGAAACTGACAAGCTGATTCTAAAATACACATGGGAATGTAAGGGACTCAAAATAGCCAAAATAGTCTTGAAAAAAGAAAACATATTAGGATAATTCACACCCCCGTGCTCCAAACCTTACGGCAAAGCATCAGTAATCAAGACAACACAACACTGATGAAAGAAAAATATATAGATTGATGGAAGAGAATTGAGAGTCCATATATAAAACTATGTGTCTATAGTCAATGGATTCTTACAGTGGTGCCATGTGCAATTCAATGAGGAAGGGACAGTCTTTGAACAAACTGGGTCAACAGCGTACACGTGGATCGCCACTTGCAAAATAATAAATTGGAACCCTTACCCCAAAGCATACAAAAATATTAACACAAATGAATTAAAGACATACATGGAAGAGCTAGAATAAAGCATATGGGAAAATCTTCAGGATTTTGGATCTAGCAAAGAAATAGCTGTAACACCAAAAACATGAGCAACAAAATAAAAATGAGATATTTAAAATTTCTTAAAAATTAAAGACATTGGTGTTTCAAAGGACAACCAAGCAAGTCAAAAGGCAGCTCAAAAATTGTGAGAAAATATTTGAAAAACACATATCTATATGTCTGCATATATATGTATCTTGAATATAGAAAAATTGTTTTAACTCAGTAACAAATATCCCAACTCAAAACTGATAAATGATAGGAATAGATGTGTTTTCCAAGAAGATACACGAACGGTCAATAATCCCATAAAAAGATACTCAACAGCATCACTCATCAGGCAACTACAAATCAAAACCACAGTTAGATACGCTATGGCTAGAACTGACCACTTTGGAAAATAGGTTGATGGCTTCTAAATATATTAAACATAGAATTGTCATATGACCCAGAAATTTATTCCCAGGTATACACCCAGATTATTGGAAAGAGGTGTTCAAACACAAATTGTACACAAGTATTCTTAGCAGCAGTATTTAAAATAGCCAAAGGTTGAACACAACTCAAATGTCAATAAAAATATTATTGGATAAACAAAATGTCATATCCATGAAATTGAATGTTATACAGGTATAAAAACAAATAAAGTACCGATACGCATATGAACCTTGATAGCATTATGCCAACTGAAAGAAGCCAGGCACAAAAGGCCACCTATTGTATGATTCTATTTAGATGAAAATAGAATAGGAAAATCTACAGAGACAGAAAACAGATTTGTGGTTGCTTAGGATTGAGTAGGGGATGAGTGCATAGGAGGTTAACAGCTAGAGAAAGTGGGGTTTCTTTTTGAAGTGATGAAAATGCTCTAAAATTCATTGTGATGATGGCTCCACTTATCTGCGTATATACTAAAAGCCATTGACTTGTAGACATTAATATGTGCACTCTACACTATGTAAATTATATCTCAATAAATCCTTTCAAAAATACACAGAAGACTAAGGGGTTTTGGAATGTTTCAGCTGGGAGGCAGTTTGAAATACTGAATAGGTCTCATCGAGAATGTGAGGTTTCAGTAAAGATTTGAGGAGTCGAATGAGCTGATCAATGGATATATGGGGGGATTTCTTTCAAAGCCAAGAAATTAACTAGAGTCTTGGTCATAAGACAGCAGCATGTTGGCATGTCCAGAGGACAGTGAGGTGGACAGGACCACTGGTAAGATCAAGGGTGAAGACATAAAAGAATTTTGGCGGTTAACATGCGGCAGATCATGATGGGCTTGCAGACCATTGTACGAATTGTGTCTTTTAGTGTAAATGAAATGGGGAGACAAATCATTACCACACTATCAATATTTTAATAAATTGGATCCATGAACCAAATACAATGAGATTAAATCAATTAGTAATAATATGCACATTTGTATTAAAATTACAAGAATTACTTGCACATTTGAGAACAGGAGAGTCATGATTTTTTATCAGCAATAATAAGCTATTAATTTTAATTGTGATCAGCTAATTGAGATTAATTGCAATACATCATGCTTTATAATGTGACTGTCAAAAGGAAAGTATGATTGTAATCTTATACTACATCTATCAATGTCTTTGATTCAGAGGACTATAGAATAAGCCCCTAGTTTTCAAAGCCAACTGATGAGGCAGTGACATCTTATGCAAGTTTGCTGCTTTCTGCCACAGTGGTCCTTGGTCAGCTGGCACAAATTGTTTTACAAACACCACTAGGTCTAAAAAAAGTTTGGATCACAATGAACACAGAAATACCTTCATTCCTTCAGAAATACCTATCAATTACTTCCAATACAGAATGAAAAATTGACAACGGAAATATGTCGATTGTAAAAATGCCACATAGCTTGAATCTACATGAAAGAAAAATGCCATTTTTATTACAATACATCATCGTTTTACATGAGTTTTGGTATAGCACAATGTTGAACCAAGGGCAAAGAAAGATGAATTAATGAAATCTTAAGACATCAAGAATTTGAAAGAAAAGGAAGGTCATCTTTGAAGGTTAGTGACATAGCATTCATCTTCTGTTGTCACCTTTTCCGTCATTCCCTGTATGCCTGATGGACAGCTTTCACTCAAGTTCAGAGAACAGCATGCAAAGATTAGCTACCAATTAATTTTTATGAAGTGAGCTTAATTTCTAGCCAGACCGAGCTTATGTTTTAGCAGGAAGCATTTTTGGGAAATGTTTATGTTAGAGTTTGCCCTTCTTGACAAGGTGAGGCATAAATGTCTACTTTATAGACATGAATTAAGATGGGAAGATATTTGGGGGAAAAATTTTCTCAAATGCTAAATAACAAAGGTACACAAAGGGGAAATTATACTAGATTTATTTCCCACTTGTTTTCTATGTCTCATCCAATTCACCTTGATTCCCTTCAGTTTCTGTTTAATGTAGAAAGTGGCATTTTCATTATTTTAAGCTTCTAGCACAATGAAAGATTTTCTCTTTTTCTTGAACAGGATCGTAAATGAAAGGGAGGAAGAGTGTCCAATATCATATTTATTGTTCAACAAAACACTGCTCCACGGCTTAAATTCAGTTTAAAAAAGAGAATTTATTGAACATCTAACACATACATAAAAGGCAGTAAAGACAAATGAGAAGAGGGCAGGATATTGAAGTATACAGACTTAAATGCTGAGTTTTGTATCTTAGTAAGTTACTGCACCTTACAGAGACTCAATTTCCACTGATTTAGGAAGGCGATGTTAATGGGTATTTCATAGGTGTAAGTATAAAAATGTTGTATTTAAGAGAATCCCACAAGCTTGGTATAAAGCAGAAAATAAATAGATGTGACATTAATTAGTAGTTTCTTACATTTGTATGCTACCTGCAGACTAGAGGAAGCAAGAAACACAGCCACTATGCTTGATTAGCATTATATTCTAATTTGGAATATAAATAGAAAAGAGAAAAATAGAAAGCTATGCATAAACACATGCATTAAAATGAATTTTATGTGGACTCTTTCAGGAAAATGTTCCTAAGGTATTTTATTTTTTTATTGTGGTAAAATACACATAACATAAAATGTACTCTGTTAACCATTTTAAATGTACAGTTCAGTGGTACTAAATATAGTCATAACATTGTGCAGCCGTCCCTACCATCCATCTCCATAACTCGTTTCATCTTGTGAAACTGAAACTCTATACCCATTAAACAGTACTTTCCCATGTCTTCCTCCCCCCAGCTTCTGGCATTCATCATTGTACTATCTCTATGATTCTGTCCAGTTTAAGTCTCTTATACAAATGGAATTGTACTGTATTTGTCCTTCACTGACTAACTTATTTCACTTGGCATAATATCCTCAAGTTTCATCCAAGATGCAACATATGTCTGAATATTTCCCTCATGTTTAAGGCTGAATGATTTACCATTGTATGTATATATCATGTTTTGCATATCCATTCATCTGTTGTTGGACACTTCAATTGCTTCTACGTTTTAGCTATTGCCAATAATGCTGCTGCAAACATGGATGTGCAAATATTTTTTCAAGACTCTGCTTTCAATTCTTTTGCTGTCTTGAGATGTGGGGCTGCTGAATCGTAAGGCAATACCATTTTGATGTTTTGAGGAACTACCATACTCTTTTCCACAGCAAACATAGGGTTTGGCATTCCCTCCAATATTGCAAAACGAATCGCCACGTCCTTGCCTGTGGATTTTATTCACAAGTCCTGTGGCTCTCTCTACATAACGGCCACCATGTGTTATTTCCTGTTTATATATATGAAATCAAAGGTGCAGGAAATAATGAACTAAATTGGAAGGATAAACATGTAGAAAAATAGAGGTAAATACTGACTACATAAAACCATAAGAATAAGAATTTTGGATGATCTATATATTATATATCTATTTATCTAACATCTGTCTGTTCCTCCATCTGTAATTAAAATATATTACAGTTAGAGAACAGAGAAAAAAGTAAGAATACATGAATTTAAATTTTAATTCTTCTTAGATTGTCTCACAGCATCATTATATGACAGAAAATTTATAGGTCAGTATCTGTTAACTGTAAATGTAACATTCTTAAAGAATTCAAATACATTGAATTACAGCATGAATAAAATATTACAATCCATTCAAGTTTATTTTATTCCAGGAACACAAAAATACAAATTTCATTTGCAATTCAAGAAAAACAGAAATCGATACATATGATTGATGTATATACACATTTAATGTATTTTTAAATATACATTTTTAAAAAATAGAAATTTAACTAGGACAACTACTTAAAATATCACTGAAAATAGTGTTAGTAGATAATACCTTCCTAATAACTCTGGTATTACATAAGAAAACAAAATTAAAATTTCAGATAAGCTTAGAAACTAAAAATTTTAGAAATATTATTCTGTTCTCCATATGTTCATATTTAATATTATTTCTTGTTTTCATTCTTCTTCAGTGTTCCTCTACTAAAATATAACATACAACAGTTACTTTTGATTTCTGTTCTTATTACTCAAAATTGTACACATTTTCTCATTCTCTTAATTTAGCCATGCTACTTTTCTGTACTCCTGGAATTTTCACATTTTTGTTCACTCTCTTTTGAGTTCCCATAGTATCAAATAAGCTTTTTTCCCTCTTTCTGATTTGAAGGTTCATCTCATAATTATTTTGTCCACTCAATTTCTTTTCATTCTCAGTTAAGGGCCTCTCATCTGGCTTCTTTTCATTTGTAAGGTTTCCTTTCATCTTAAGCCAGTCTTTTATTTATATTTTGATTCTGTTTTGTGGAGGACATGCTTTCCTGAATTTTAAGGAAGAGGCTAAAAGGTTCGTTCAAGTTTTTACCTGATACATTGGATTAAATTATCTAATGTACACACCCTTAATTTAAGTCTAGGGGTGACTGTCTACTCTTGATTTTGTATAGTATTATTTTTCTTAACATCCAAGTCCATCTTCATCTATTTGTATATGATCAATAAAAATATATTTGTCCAGAACCCTGCTTTGGTGGAGTTACTTCTTTCTAAGTAGGAGAGGTAGCAGTTGAGACATGAGCTGGGTTCTGGGTCAGTTTAGAGGGCTGGGCGACATTCCTCCTTTTGGTCTGTATGACTGAATGAATGCGGTTCTTGCTGTCTCGCTCCTCTCCTTAACACATTGAGCCATTGCAGCAGATGAGAAGGAATAATCCTGATCTGCCATTGAGGTGGAACACATGTTCTCTCCAACCACATCCATAGGTTGTACTCACACTCGGCCAGAATGTATCCTGTCAATGATATGGAGATGTATCTGGCTATCTAGTTAGATATCTACTTTGGTTTATGCTCTCTGGTTGCCCGTAAATTATCTCCTTAAAGTGAATATCAAAAGAGAGCTTGGTGATGGCAGTGTTATAAAATCCTCAAAATGCAGCACCCTCACCCAGAGGAATTTGTAGATTCTGGGATTCTAATTCAGATACCAAACTATATAAAAGGGGCATTGGTCATTGAGGGTTGCTAGGCTCTTTGTGGAGCATATTTGCTCTTTTCATGACTTTGAAATTATTTTAAAAATCTAACCTTTTTCTCAGTGTGCTGCAAGATGATTTGATTTTAATGCACGAGCACTGATTCTCCCCTAAGATTTGTACAATATATTTACTCTGACAAGCCATAGCCAGCAACTCACTTCACAGCAATTTATAGCATTTCCACGACAAGTTGAATTATTTTTAACTAGACTCTCTTTGCCTTAATCAAAATATGAAGAAGCAATATATTGTTCTAGTTAGGTTCAAAAGTTGGCAGTCTCTCTCCTGGAAAGAATAATAAAACTTTTCAGCGGCCTAATATGCATCTATAGACACACACACACACACACACACACACACACACGCAGGCACTATTCATAATATTTAAAGCACATTCTGTTCTATGACTTCATTTATCTAGCACAAAATAAAACGATCTCAGTATATGTCAAGTACCAATTATTTCGTATGGCCAATTATAGGTATTTTATTTTTTAAAGATTCGAGTGTTCTTGAAGCTCTTTCTATTTCTTTGTCAATGAACTAAACATTGGCAAATATGTAGGGTTTCCCACATAAGAACATTATTACCATCAAAATAGAAAGCTGGTGGTAGAAATAATGATTGGGAACACAGAGTCTCTACTCAGCGTTCTACTTCTGCTATACCATAAGTTTGTGATCTCACGAAATATCTCTCCATGTTGTCATCCCTATGTATAGTTCTGTCATTTTTCAATAAGAGCTTTTTGCTTAATTATGAAGTACTAGTTACTATAACCATTATTTTGAGCTTCATGTAAATCAAGAACACATGGACTCCACTTGCAAAACATTGAAAATGTAGTTAGGGATTGGGGCCTAAAGCAACATTTTAAAATGTGTAAAGACAATGAGTAAGCAACAAAGTGTCCAATTTTTTAGGGCAAATTTGCATACGTCAGGAAAAGGCAGGATTAAGTAACAGAGAATTTGAATGATAACTGGCCAATTGGTGTCGTTTACAATTGCAAGTCATACAAATGAAGTTTGCTTTTTTAAAGAGAAAAGGAGTTAGTTAGAATGGGTCAACCTATTGGGGAAGCAATGTAGTTAGAGACAATGCCCAAAACCATGTGAGCAAATGCTCTGTAGAGCGCACCCCTGCAATGCTGCCATTGTGAGGCCAAGTCTCTCCTTGTCTTGGTACTGAGCCCTCCATTCTGCCTCCATCATTGCCACTGTAGCTGCCACAAGGTGAACCCTCAACCACCGCTGCCCAGGAACAAAGAAAGAATTATGTCCTTCCGCGCTCTCAGATCAATTTCCAACATCAGGTGAGCCTTTGATGGGCACTATTCAGTTCCCATATCCCTGAAATAGATGCAGTAAAAACATAGAAATTGCCTATGTGTTTCCCAATAAGACACATATGGAAGCCTGTTTTCCCACAACAGGAAGGGTTTTCCTTGATGGGTGTTCAAAGGAACAATATTCCCTGCAAACCATACTTTGCCCATGTGAAGAAAAGCAATGAGGATTATTTAATAAATAGACATAGAAACTCATCCAGGGTTGGCTGATGAGAATCTGGTTAGCAAGGGGGTCTGCCTTCAGTTAGGACAAGGTCTGTGCTCCCCACGGGTTCTCTCCACAGCATGAGGGATGCAAACTTCCCTTTCCTCCCCTGCACCTACCCTCAAATGGCCCAGAGGTCTTCAGGTGCTAGAATTTCTCAATTAATGCTGCACAAAATAACAGACAGCCTTGGCTGTCACAGTCTGTTCTCATGAAGCTAGTCTCTGCTCACTACATAAAACAGGAGAGTAAGAACAAGGGTGTTTAACGCTACCCTAGCTCAAACAAGTTTCTCTCTGTAGGATGCCAAGAACCTGGGAACCAGTGCATCTGCTGCTTTCCCTTCTCGGATTCTAGCCCAGACAAAAGAGGCAAGGGTCATTTCTTCAGACGCCTTGAGCTTCACTACACAATGCCCCAGGCTCTACATGCACCCTCTTTATATATTTCTACCTTGAAAAAAATTTTTATATAATATTAATAGTATATATTTTTATATAAGAAACACATATGTTTATTTTATAGATAGATATACATAGATAAAGATCTCTAGTCACCCTTTTTTAAGGCTGGGCTGATCGCGGTGCCTCAAATCTATAATCCCGGCACTTTGGGAGGCCAAGGTGGCCAGATCTCTTGAGTCCAGGAGTTGGAGATCTGCCAGGGCAACATGGTGAAACCCCATCTTTACAAAAATTAGCTAGTATGGTGTCATGCACTTGCAGTCCCTGCTACTCAGGAGACTGAGGTGGGAGAATCGCTTGAGCACAGTATGTGAAGGCTTCAGTGAGCTCTGATCACATGAATGCACCCCATCTTGGGTGACAAAGTGAAACCCTCTCTGAAAAATAAAATAAAATAAAAAGGCTACCACCATACTCACAGATAAGTGTGTCAGGTATATTTGTAGCTATCCTTCCTATATTCTATTTGGTAAAAAAAAAAAAAAAAAAAAAAAAAAAAATGCAAAGAACTCTTCTCATTCTAGATTTTTGTATTACTTAGACATTTGAAGTTTATAGCAGAAGAGCTATAATCATGTTTGGTATGCGTACTCTATAGACCAGATAGTGCAAACAGATATCAATGCTTTTTAAAAGTATATAAGGTTATTAGAAATATTTTAAACTACCTATAGGTGTATATGTATCTAATTGAACTATCAAATGCAAGTAAGATCATTTCCTTAGCGTGTTAAATCCACTCAATTTATTAAAATATTTTCTAATGTCTATTACAATAATGTTTCTTAATTAGCTAACATAAGAGGAGTTTTAAGACATTTATTTATATGTACTTACTAGATTCAAACTCGATTCCACTATTTTCAGAAATCATGCTCTGAGACAAGTCCTTTTTTTATCTAACTATGTTTCTGCCTATATTAAAAGACAGATATGTCCATTTTGCTAATCATGCTGTTCCAAACCTCTCCATCCTATTTTTCGGTTTGTTCTAGCAGTCATTCAGAGACTTACTTATATTCAAATTTCTCTCTAGGTTTAACATTTGTGTATGTCTTCTTGTGGTTTTGTCTATTTTTGCTGTATATAAGACATTTATTGACATATATCATACATGCAGAAAAGTACAATGATTAAATATGGATAGCTTCATTAATGAAACACATGTATTTGCTTATAACCATGTATGAAAATAGAACATTACTAAAAATAGTGATACTTCTCCTGCCCCTTTCCAAACACTAACCCTCATCCTCAATAGCAACAGATTTTTTTTTATCATAGAGTAATTTGGTCTATTTTCAAATTTTTATTAAATAAATCAGAGTATCTACTCTAAGTCTATGTTTCTCTCATTGTTGCTATTTTGCTTATAGTATTTATCTGCTAATGGACATGGTAGATTAAAGACGGCTACATACACATTTTTTAATTAATAGATTTTTTGAGCACTTTGTGGCTCATGCCTCTAATCCCATCACTTTGGGAGGCTGAGGTGCGTGGATCATGAGGTCAGGAGATCCAGACAATCCTGGCCAATGTGGTAAAACCCCTTCTCTACTAAACTACAAAAAATTAGCTGATAGATAACATCAAGATAACATCTGGGTTCTTAGCTGCACTGAGTCAAGCCAACTTACATCTTTGTTTGTCTTCCTCTGCACTTTTCCTTCCACATCACACTCCAGGAATGCCAAGCTGTTCTGGCCTTCTACCCCATTTCCACTACTTTGCCCCCGCCGACGCGGCTTTTTGCCGCCATGGATTTTTGCCCCCGCTGCTGCGGGTTTTTGCGGCTTTATGCCTCCGCCGCCTCGACTTTTTGCCCCCGCCTCCGTTGCTTTCTGCCCCCGCCACCGCGGCTTTCTGCCCCCGGCCTCGCGGAATTTAGCCCCTGCTGCCGCGGCTTTTTGGGGATCTTTGCCCTCGCAGCCGCGGCTTTTTGCCGCCGCAGCTTTTTGCGTCTTTCTCCCCCCACCGCCGCGGCTTTTTGCCCTCGCCGCCGCGGCTTTTTTCCCCCGCCGCTGCAGCTTTTAGCCCCCGTCACCGCGACTTTTTCCGCTGCGGCTTTTTGCCACCGCCGCCGCGGCTTTTTATGACTTTTGGCCCCCGGCGCCGCGGCTTTTTACGGCTTTTCGCCCCCGCCGCCGCAGGTTTTTCCCGCCGCGGCTTCTTGCCCCCGCCGCCCCGGCTTTTTGCGGCTTTTTGCCGCCGCGGCTTTTGGCCCCCGCCGCCGCGAGTTTTTTCCCCTGTCGCCGCAGGTTTTTCCTGCCCCGGCTTCTTGCCCCCACCGCCCGGGCTTTTTGCCCCCGCCGTCGCGGCTTTTTGCCCCCAATGCTGCGGCTTTTTACGGCTTTTTGCGCCCATCACCGTAGCTTTTTGCCTCCGCCACCGCAGCTTTTTGCGTCCGCAACCACGGCTTTTTGACCCCGCCGCCATGGCTTGTTGCCCCCGTCGCCCTGGCTTTTTCCCCCACCGCCCCGGCTTTTTGCGCCCACCGCTGCAGTTTTTTGCCCCCACCGCCGCGGGTCTGAGGGCTGGATCCGCAGACTTGGCTGCCAGCTCTACCGGCGTCCTGACTAAGGCAGCGCCAAGGGGCGCTCCTGGTCCAGCTCTCCCGAATCAGGGGTTCCTTGCCTAGACGCCGGCGCCCAGGGCTCCGCTCCTGGGCTGCTGCAGCCCGCATAGAGCGGCGCTGCGCTCGGCTGCAATGGGAGAGAAGAAGGAGGGCAGTGGCGGGGGTGACGCGGCTATCGCGTAGGGAGGCACAGGGGCCGCGGCCAGCCGGGCGCTGCAGCAGTGCGGGCAGCTCCAGAAGCTCATCGGCATCTCCATTGGCAGCCTGCGCGGGCTGCGCACCAAGTGCGCTGTGTCCAAGGACCTCACCCAGCAGGAGATACGGACCCTGGAGGTAAGGGGGTCAGGGACCAGGGCTGGGCTCCAGCACCAGACTGGACACCTCCATCTGGGCCCCAGTTCACTCCTGGCCGAGTTGCATCCTTGAGCCCACGTCGCCCCTTTGGAGGCTTCTCCTCCCTCCTGCACTCGCTGATGCGGCAGCCGGAGGACCTGGGACCAGCCCTCACCTTGGGCAGGATTTGTGGAGCGGTTGCGTGTTGGGA
Organism: Homo sapiens; assembly: GCF_000001405.40. Classification (NCBI taxonomy): domain Eukaryota; kingdom Metazoa; phylum Chordata; class Mammalia; order Primates; family Hominidae; genus Homo; species Homo sapiens. The sequence continues at coordinate 171,243 of NT_187648.1, read as the reverse complement.
ACTGTGATGGATGCTCGAGGGGCCCATGGGCGGGGTGGGCTGCACGCGGACATCCCCTTACCTCCCGAATTGCCATCTGGTCCAGCCCTCTCATCTTGTAGGTGAGGAAACCGAAGGCCTGAGGGAGAAATGACTTGCCAGGAACCCCTGTTAAGGAGAATTAACAAAGAGTGGTTACTAAAGGAGCAGTGAGTTGGGAGTCAGACCTGGAGGCCCGCACCCTTGGTTAAGACATTATAACACCTTGAGTCTGGCCTGTTGACTGAGGGTGAGCCACTCCATCCTCGTCTGATTGTGGGGTCTTGACCTCAAGGGGTTTCCTGCAGGAAGAAGCAAATGGGTTTGCCTCCCTAGCTCTGTCCAGTACCTTAGGGACCCTGAGAACTAGAGAGATTCTTGGAGAGCCATCTGGTGTATGTCATGGGTGGGCCTTGTTTGAAGGTCAGTCTGCCCAGTGGGCTGGCTCAGCCCGAATGAACTCTCTTGAATCTTTGGAGTTTTCTGTGTACTTTTAAGGGTTTCTCATCCTTGCACCAAAAGATCTCCTGGAAATTAGGTGGGAAAACCTTAACTTTTGTGGGGCCCTGTGTTTGTCTTAAAAGTTCATGCACATGGCCAGGTGTGGTGGCTCACGCCTGTTATCCTGTCCTGGATCACTTGAGTCAAGGAGTTTGAGACCAATCTGGACAACATAGTGAGACCCCGTCTCTACAAAAAAAAAAAAAAAATAGTAGCCAGGGGTGGTTGTGCACATCTGTAGTCCTACCTACTACTGTGGCTGAGGAGGGAGGAGCACTTGAGCCTGCACTGAGCTGTGATCTCACCAGTGTATTCCAGCCTGGGCCACACGCAACACCTTGACTCAAAAAAGAAAAACCAACAAGAAAAATTCTTGAAGATTTTGCATTCTGTCTCACTATCGATTGGTTTTCATGTCAAGATAATGTCAGAAATTCTTTACAATTGCTTCCAGAAGGAGTAGCCTTTTGATCTAGTGCACAGGTGTCCAGTCTTTTGGCTTCTCAGGGCCACATTGGAAGAAGAATGCTCCTGGGCCACAGATAAAATACACTACTGCTAATGATAGCTGAGGAGCTTAAAGAAAAAAAGGTTTGTGCATAATTTTCATGATACCCACCACCACAGATAGGCTGAAAAGTCCTTGTAGTCAAAGGGTTGGACACAGCTGATCTAGTGTCTTGTCGTCCGTTTTGACTTTCTCCCTGACTCCAGAATGCAGGTAGAGATGTAGAGACGTGCTCTCAGGACAGGTGTTGAGATAAAAAAATTCGTTGTCATTTATTCCCAAGGACAGCTGTTTGTCATTTGTATTGAAAAAGTTTCCATTCAAACCGCTGTCACATATAAAATCTATTTATATGTCTGTATGTTTCTGTTGTCTTGGCTTTTGTGGGCAGCAGTGTGTTTTAATGGAGCAAACTGTCCTTCCAAATAATGAAGCCGAAGTCAGCCTACCTGCTTGCCATTTTTCTTCCCCTTCCATTTTTCTAACCTCAGGATAATTGTAAGAATGAATTAAGATTTGTGTTTAAGGCCAGGCACAGTGTCTCAGGCCTGTAATCTCAGCACTTTGGGAGGCAGAGACGGATGTATCGCTTGAGCTCAGGAGTTGAAGACCAGCCTTGGCAACATACTGAGACTCTGTCTTGTATAATTAAATTAATATTTAAAAAAAGGAAAGAAAAGGACCAGTGTTTAAAATTTAAAAAAAGGGGGGGAAAGTATAATGCAAAATGTGGACTATGCTAGCTATGATTGGGAAAAATAATTTTTCATACAGCATTATCTGTTGACTTGTATTAGCAGCACACTGGTCATAAGCGTTTTGCTTTCATCAAATATGAGGTAAGCTACTTTAAAGTGTGGTGGGGCTTTCTTCCGCATGGCTCCTGGAGGTGTTGAGTCCCAATTTAGCCAATTAATTGGGGTTTAGTTTTGATATGGATAAGGGAGACCGGCTTCATTCATGATGCACACACAGTTTTGCCAGTAAGGAAAAAAAAAGCAACCTGAATGTTTCTACTCATTAGATGCTATCTGGAGAGCTCCTACCCCAATGCCACAAAGGCCCAGTCCCTTAAAAAGACTCAATGCAGCCTTTGTGCGTCTCATACTGTATTCTGCAAGATACTCCTGTGAAAGAAATTTGTGCTGCATCAGCCATCTCCCTCCTGAAGATCCCTGCGGATGACGATTTGTGTTTTAAAGGTTCTGAGAAGTCCTGCAAAAACAGTTCTCAAACTTATTTGTCCAGGGGATCTTTTCTTCCACTGAACATAGTTGGGTAGACACGGCCTTAAGCCTTGAGCAGAGAAAGAGACAAGAAACTGTTGGCTCACTTACAACCAAGTGTTGTGTTTATGTTTTAGGTTTTTATGAAACTGAGGTGCTGTTTGAGGTTCTGAATCAAATTGGGTGGTTGAAGAGAGGCTGGTATCCCTGTAGACTTAGCCAGCCATGAGAGGTTGACTTCTGTTGAAGGAGGTGTTTTACAAAGGGAAATAGGGTGTCTCCTGGGCATCACATTAGCACTTAAATACATGTATCACTGAAATGAAATGAAATGATGAAATGATGACATGAAATGAAATGAAATGATGAAATGATGAAACGAAATGATGAAATGAAGAAATGAAATGAAATGACAAAATGATGAAATGAAATGAAATGATGAGATGAGATGAAATGGTGAAATGAAATGAAATGCTGAAATGAAATGAAATGATGAAATGATGAAATGGAATGATGAAATGAAATGATGAAATGAAATGGTGAAATGAAATGAGGAAATGAAATGAAATGCTGAAATGAAATGATGAAGTGAAATGGTGAAATGAAATGAAATGAAATGATGAAATGATATGAAAAGATGAAATGATGAAATGGAATGATGAAATGAAATGATGAAATGAAATGGTGAAATGAAATGAGGAAATGAAATGAAATGCTGAAATGAAATGATGAAGTGAAATGGTGAAATGAAATGAAATGATGAAATGAAATGAAAAGATGAAATGATGAAATGAAGAAATGGTATGAAATGATGAAATGAAATGACAAAATGAAGTGAAATGATGAAATAATGAAATGAGGGGTGGAGCCAAGATGGCTGAATAGGAACAGCTCTGGTCTACAGCTCCCAGCATGAGCGACGCAGAAGACGGGTGATTTCTGCATTTCCATCTGAGGTACCGGGTTCATCTCACTAAGGGAGTGCCAAACAGTGGGTGCAGGACAGTGGATGCAGTGCACCATGTGGGAGCCGAAGCAGGGCGAGGCATTGCCTCACTCAGAAAGCACAAGGGGTCAGGGAGTTCCCTTTCCTAGTCAAAGAAAGGGGTGACAGACTGCACCTGGAAAATAGGGTCACTCTCAACCTAATACTGTACTTTTCCAACAGGCTTGGAAAACAGCACACCAGGAGATTGTGTCCCGCACCTGGCTCAGAGGGTCTTATGCCAATGGAGTCTTGCTGATTGCTAGCACAGCACTCTGAGATCAAACTGCAAGGCAGCAGCGAGGCTGGTGGAGTGGGACCCGCCATTGCCCAGGCTTTCTTAGGTAAACAAAGCAGCCAGGCAGCTGGAACTGGGTGGAGCCCACAACAGCTCCAGGAGGCCTGCCTGCCTCTGTAGGCTCCACCTCTGGGGGCAGGGCACAGACACACAAAAAGTCAGCAGTAACCTCTGCAGACTTAAATGTCCCTGTCTGACAACTTTGAAGAGAGTAGTGGTTCTCCCAGCACGCAACTGGAGATCTGAGAATGGGCAGACTGCCTCCTAAAGTGGGTCACTGAACCCCAAGCAGCCCAACTGGGAGGCACCCTCGAGTAGGGACAGACTGACACCTCACTCGGCCGGGTAGTCCTCTGAGACCAAACTTCCAGAGGAATGATCAGACAGCTGAATTTGTGATTCACGAAAATCCGCTGTTCTGCAGCCACCGCTGCTGATACCCAGGCAAACAGGATCTGGCGTGGACCTCTAGAAAACTCCAACAGACCTGCAGCTGAGGGTCGTGTCTGTTAGAAGGAAAACTGACAAACAGAAAGGACACCCACACCAAAAACCCATCTGTACATCACCATCATCAAAGACCAAAAGTTGATAAAACCACAAAGATAGGGAGAAAACAGAAAAACTGGAAACTCTAAAAAGCAGAGTGCCTCTCCTTCTCCAAAGGAACGCAGTTCCTCACCAGCAACAAAACTGGACAGAGAATAACTTTGATGATTTGAGAGAAGAAGGCTTCAGATGATCAAACTACTGTGAGCTACAGGAGGAAATTCAAACCAATAGCAAAGAAGTTAAAAACTTTGAAAAACAATTAGACGAGTGTATAACTGGAATAACCAATGCAGACAAATGCTTAAAGGATCTGATGGAGCTGAAAGCCAAGTTTCGAGAACTACGTGAAGAAGGCAGAAGCCTCAGGAGCCAATGCAATCAACTGGAAGAAAAGGTATCAGTGATGGAAGATGAAATGAATGAAATGAAGGGAGAAGGGAAGTTTAGAGAAAAAAGAATAAGAAGAAATGAACAAAGCCTCCAGGAATTATGGGACTATGTGAAAAGACCAAACCTACGTCTGATTGGTGTAGCTGAAAGTGACGGGGAGAATGGAACTAAGTTGGAAAACACTCTGCAAGATATTATCCAGGAGGACTTCCCCAATCTAGTAAGGCAGGCCAACATTCAGATTCAGGAAACACAGAGAACGCCACAAGGATACTCCTTAAGAAGAGGAACTCCAAGACACATAATTGTCAAATTCACCAAAGATGAAATGAAGGAAAAAATGTTAAGGGCAGCCAGAGAGAAAGGTCCGGTTACCCACAAAGGGAAGCTCATCAGACTAACAGCTGATCTCTCAGCAGAAACTCTTCAAGCCAGAAGAGAGTGGGGGCCAATATTCAACATTCTTAAAGAAAGTAATTTTCAACCCAGAATTTCATATCCAGCCAAACTAAGCTTCATAAGTGAAGGAGAAATAAAATCCTTTACAGACAAGCAAATGCTCAGAAATTTTATCACCACCAGGCCTGCCCTAAAAGAGCTCCTGAAGGAAGCACTAAACATGGAAAGGAACAACTGGTACCAGCCACTGCGAAAACATGCCAAATTGTAAAGACCATCAAGACTAGGAAGAAACTGCATCAACTAACGAGCAAAATAACCAGCTAACATCATAATGACAGGATCAAATTCACACATAACAATATTAATTTTAAATGTAAATGGGCTAAATGCTCCAATTAAAAGACACAGACTGGCAAATTGGATAAGAAGACAAGACCCATCAGTGTGCTGTATTCAGGAAACCCATCTCACATGCAGAGACACACATAGACTCAAAATAAAGCAATGGAGGAAGATCTACCAAGCAAATGGAAAACAAAAAAAGGCAGGGGTTGCAATCCTAGTCTCTGATAAAGCAGACTTTAAACCAAAAAAGATCAAAAGAGACAAAGAAGGCCATTACATAATGGTAAAGGGATCAATTCAACAAGAAGAGCTAACTATCCTAAATATATATGCACCCAAAACAGGAGCACCCAGATTCATAAAGCAAGTCCTGAGTGACCTACAAAGAGACTTAGACTCCCCCACAATCATAAGGGGAGATTTTATCACGCCACTGTCAACATTAGACAGATCAACGAGGCAGAAAGTTAGCAAGGACACCCAGGAATTGAACTCAGCTCTGCACCAAGCGCACCTAATAGACATCTATGGAACTCTCCACCCCAAATCAACAGAATATACATTTTTTTCAGCACCACACCACACCCATTCCGAACTTGATCACATAGTTGGAAGTAAAGCTCTCCTCAGCAAATGTAAAAGAACAGAAATTATAACAAACTGTCTCTGACACCACAGTGCAATCAAACTAGAACTCAGGATCAAGAAACTCACTCAAAACCGCTCAACTATATGGAAAATGAACAACCTGCTCCGGAATGACCACTGGGTACATAACAAAATGAAGGCAGAAATAAAGATGTTCTTTGAAACCAACGAGAACAAAGACAAAACATACCAGAATCTCTGGGACACACTCAAAGCAGTGTGTAGAGGGAAAGTTATAGCACTAAATGCCCACAAGAGAAAGCAGGAAAGATCCAAAATTGACACTCTAACATCACAATTAAAAGAACTTGAAAAGCAAGAGCAAACACATTCAAAAGCTAGCAGAAGGCAAGAAATAACTAAAATCAGGGCAGAACTGAAGGAAATAGAGACACAAAAAACCCTTCAAAAAATTAATGAATCCAGGAGCTGTTTTTTTGAAAAGATCAACAAAATTGATAGACCACTAGGAAGACTAATAAAGAAGAAAAGAGAGAAGAATCAAATAGATGCAACAAAAAATGATAAAGGGGTTATCACCACCGATCCCACAGAAATACAATCTACAATCACAGACAACTACAAACACCTCTATGCAAATAAACTAGAAAATCTAGAAGAAATGGATAAATTCCTTGACACATACAGTCTCCCAAGACTAAACAAGGAAGAAGTTGAATCTCTGAATAGACCAATAACAGGCTCTGAAATTGTGGCAATAATCAATAGGTTACCAACCAAAAAGAGTCCAGGACCAGATGGATTCACAGCCGAATTCTACCAGAGGTACAAGGAGGAACTGGTACCATTCCTTCTGAAACTATTCCAGTCAATAGAAAAAGAGGGATTCCTCTCTAACTAATTTTATGAGGCCAGCATCATCCTGATACCAAAGCCGGGCAGAGACACAACCAAAAAAGAGAATTTTAGACCAATATCCTTCATGAACATTGATGCAAAAATCGTCAATAAAATCCTGCAAACCGAATCCAGCAGCACATCAAAAAGCTTATCCACCATGATGAAGTGGGCTTCATCCCTGGGATGCAAGGCTGGTTCCACATATGCAAATCAATAAACGTAATCCAGCATATAAACCTAACCAAAGACAAAAACCACATGATTTTCTCAATAGAAGAAGAAAAGGCCTTTGACAAAATCAACAGCCCTTCATGCTAAGAATTCTCAATAAATTAGGTATTGATGGGAAGTATCTCAAAATAATAAGAGCTATCTATGACACACCCACAGCCAATATCATACTGAATGGGCAAAAACTGGAAGCATTCCTTTTGAAAACTGGCACACGACAGGGATATCCTCTGTCACCGCTCCTATTCAACATAGTGTTGGAAGTTCTGGCCAGGGCAATCAGGCAGGAGAAGGAAACAAAGGGTATTCAATTAGGAGAAGAGGAAGTAAAATTGTCCCTGTTTGCAGATGACATGATTGTATATCTAGAATACCCCATTGTCTCGGCGCAAAACCTCCTTAAGCTGATAAGCAACTCCAGCAAAGTCTCAGGATACAAAATCAATGTACAAAAATTACAAGCATTCTTGTACATCAATAACAGACAAACAGAGTGCCCAATCATGAGGGAACTCCCATTCACAATTGCTCCAAAGAGAATAAAATACCTAGGAACCCAACTTACAAGGGACATGACGGACGTCTCCAAGGAGAACTACAAACCACTGCTCAATGAAATAAAAGAGGATACAAACAAATGGAAGAACATTCCATGCTCATGGGTTGGAAGAATCAATATCGTGAAAATGGCCATACTGCCCAAGGTAATTTATAGATTCAATGCCATACCCATCAACCTACCAATGACTTTCTTCACAGAATTTGAAAAAACGTCTTTAAAGTACATGTGGAACCAAAAAAGAGCCCGCATTGCCAAGTCAATCCTAAGCCAAAGGAACAAAGCATCACGCTACCCGATTTCAAACTATACTACAAGGCTACAGTAACCAAAACAGCATGTTACTGGTACAAAAACACAGACATAGATCAATGGAACAGAACGGAGCCCTCAGAAATAATGCCGCATAACTACAACTGTCTGATCTTTGACAAACCTGAGAAAAACAAGAAATGGGGAAAGGATTCCCTATTTAATAAATGGTGCTGGGAAAACTGGCTAGCCATATGTAGAAAGCTGAAACTGGATCCCTTCCTTACACCTTATGCAAAAATTAATTCAAGTTGGATCAAAGACTTACATGTTAGACCTAAAACCATAAAAACCCTAGAAGACAACCTAGGCAATACCGTTCAGGACATAGGCGTGAGCAAGGACTTCATGTCTAAAACACCAAAAGCAATGGGAACAAAAGCCAAAATTGACAAATGGGATCTAATTAAACTAAAGAGCTTCTGCACAGTAAAAGAAATTACCATCAGAGTGAACAGGCAACCTACAAAATGGGAGAAAATTTTTGCAACTTACTCATCTGACAAAGGGCTAATAACCAGAATCCACAATGAACTCAAACAAATTTACAAGTAAAAAACAAACAACCCCATCAAAAAGTGGGTGAAGAACACGAACAGACACTTCTCAAAAGAAGACATTTATGCATCCAAAAAACACATGAAAAAATGCTCATAATCACTGGCCATCAGAGAAATGCAAATCAAAACCACAATGAGATACCATCTCACACCAGTTAGAATGGCGATCATTAAAAAGTCAGGAAACGGCAGGTGCTGGAGAGCATGTGGAGAAATAGGAACAATTTTACACTGTTGGTGGGACTGTAAACTAGTTCAAACATTGTGGAAGTCAGTGTGGCGATTCCTCAAGTATCTAGAACTAGAAATACCATGTGACCCAGCCATTCCATTACTGGGTATATACACAAAGGACTATGAATCATGCTGCAATAAAGACACATGCACACATATGTTTATTGCGGCAGTATTCAGAATAGCAAAGACTTGGAACCATCCCAAATGTCCAACAACGATAGACTGGATTAAGAAAATGTGGCACATATACACCATGGAGTACTATGCAGCCATAAAAAATGATGAGTTCATGTCCTATGTAGGGACATGGATGAAACTGGAAATCATCATTCTCAGTAAACTCTCGCAAGGAGAAAAAACCAAACACCACATGTTCTCATTCATAGGTGGGTATTGAACAATGAGAACACACGGACACAGGAAGGGGTACATCACACTTCGGGGACTGTTGTGGGGTGGGGGGAGTGGGGAGGGATAGCATTAGGAGATATACCTAATGCTAAATGACGAGTTAATGGGTGCAGCACAGCAACATGGCACATGAACCCTTATGTTAAAAACCTGCACATTGTGCACATGTATCCTAAAACTTAAGGTATGATAATAAAATAAAATAAAATAAAAAAACAAAATATACACTAATACACATTAACCAACTTAAAAAAATAGTAGAGAAAGGTCATTTAAAAAATATGAAGGATAGAGTAATAATCTAACACGTTGAAATCTAAGAAGGAGAAAACAGCTTGTCTGAACAGCATTTTAAGTGGCAATGTTAGAGGTTTTATCAAAATTGACCAATAATATTAAACCTCAGGTTCAGGAGACTTTTCAAAGCAAAGGAAAACACACACAGAGGACACATCTAGAAACATAATGGGGCAATTTCTGAAAAGTAAAAGAAAAATGTAAAGAGCACTTGATAAAAAAAAAAAAATTGGACTAACTACAAAGAGAAAGAGTTGACTGATAACAACTTTCTCAAATGAAACAACGAAAGCCAACAAGTGAGGTACTGATATCTTTCAAGTCCTGAAATAAAATAAGTGCTGACCTAGAACTGTCTACTTGGTGGACATATCCATCAAAACAAAGATACAATAAAGAATTTCTCCCAAGCAGACACACAGGAAAAGAAATACTAAACATTATTCTTCAGGTAGAAGAGCCATGATCCCTGATGAAAATTTGCATTTAGAAGAACAATTTTTTTAATGAAAGAAATAAACATAGAGAGAAATTTAATTGGATATCGACTGTATAACAGAATGCTATCTCATAAAGTTTAAAATATATCTTCCGTACAATGGCAGAAGCATATAAGTTGTGAGTTGGATAAATTAATTTTAAAATATTGTCAAGTTTTTTTTTTTTTTTTTTTTTTTTTGCAAATAGACAAATGGACCAATTACATTAGACCCTGAATCCAAGAATACACGTTGTATTAAACCAGGTAAAATATAACCAGACCAGATTTTTTAAATGGACTCTCTTAAAGTTTTTATAATTTATATTCATATTTCACATATGTTGAAAGTAAATAATGGAAAAGCATGCAATGCAAATATTAACCAAAATATAGCTTTAGTTGTACTTATATTCACATTTTAAAAGTTGGACACAGTTAAGTCTCAGTGATTTTTTTACACAACGGAGGCAAGCTGTGCAGTTTTAACTAGTATTATATTATGCTCTTGGCCTGATTACAGAAGGGAAAGGGGAGATCATACCAGACAATGGCAGAATGAAGCAACAAGGAGTAGAGTTACAGAACATGATGCTGTAACTTGGACTGGAGTTACTCTTTTCGAGTTAAAGAATAGTAAACAGGACAAAATATATGAAACATTTTTTTGAAGTACTGAACATCGGCAGCGCAGGACTGTGCTCTGCAAGAGAAGAGAAGGAGCCAGAATGAGTCCTGCATTATTCCCAGATTCTCCGTGACAGCAGTAGAGAAGAATCCCAGAGACAGCAGACATTGTCATTGCACTGAGGAACCAGATAAAAATCAAAAAAGGTTAAGTAGCTGGAATGTGTAGTAGAAGAGAACGTTTACAGAAAAAGGAACCAAGAATCAGCCTAAGGATTCTCCCAAGTCCCTAAGCCAAATGTACATAGGATGAAATTCTAAGGAGCTCAGCAAAAGACTCTACCAGGGAGTTGGAAGAAGAACACTTCCCTGGCATCACATGACAGGAAGACACGTTAGTTGTGACCAGCCAGAGATGGGAATCCCCTCTGTACCTCCAGGATATTCAGTAAAGACCACTGGAGGTTCATGCCCTAGTGACAGTGCTCATTTAGCTCCAAATTACAGATGGCTCTAGACTAACTCAACAAATTTTAAAGAGGAGATTTAAAGCAACAACAGAAAAATACTCATCCTGAAGTTACTGAACTGCCTGCCACAACATTGTTCAAAGGTAGCCAATCAAATCTAGATATTCAATAGCATAACACCAAAATACCCCCCCCCCAAAAAAAACTCTGACATGCAAAGAAGCCGTAAGATATATATAATTAAGATATATATTAACAGGATAAAAATAAGTCATTTATAAATGACAGAAAAGAAGGAAATTTCAAGGTCCTTAAAGTAAATATATTTTATAAATACATATAGATAAATACATATATATGTCAAGGTACTTAAATGAAAATTGAACATAGGAGAAAAATAGAAGTTATAAAATGAAAAATATGACATGTATAGATGAAAAATAAATATTTTAAATAAAAATTCCATGAGATAGAATAAGTAATGGATTTTACCCTAACATCAGAAAATTTATAGAACAAAATAGAAGCTTTACAAACTAAAGGACAAAGGGTAAACTAAAATAAGAAAGCCAGAAACTCACTGATACGTCAGACAATATGCAGCAGTGTAACATACATGTAATTAATATCTCAAAAAGGATGGGTGGGGGAATTACAGGTGAATAAAGAATGGTACACTCATTCCTGAGGGCACCGAGGAGGGAGGATAGCTTTAGATTCCTAAGGGAGGGTATTATCCATTCATGAAGGTCGAACCCCATGACCAAACACCTCCCAGTAAGCCCCACCTGCAATATTGGGGATCAAATTTTAACCTGAGATTGGAAGGGGCAAGCATTCAAACCATAGCAAGAGTTAAATTTCCTTTTAAAAAAAATCACCGATATGATTCCATTTCGCCATAGATAAAAGCTAGTATTTCAGCCTACCATTGAGTGTGCTTATAGCTCACCAAAAGGGCACTCTGTCTCGGGAATACAGATTTGCCTAGAGGTATCCTGTTGCAGTCAAAGAAAGAGCATTGAGGGATAGAAAAGGTTAGTGATGGAGACACCAGCGCTGCATTTTGCAACAAACAATGTAAAAACTTTACGGATTGGTTCTGCTAACTTACTACAGTTTACATTCCTCTCATGTGGGAGAATTGTTGCGTTTTTTCTTAAGTTAGAAAAGCAATTCAGATAATCTGAAATCTCCACAAGAAGGATAAGAAGCACAGCAGAAACTATTCCAGGCAGGAAGTCAGTCCTTTCAACTGTCTGTGCTCCATAGAAACAATTGTCTGCACTGGGAGTCATATGAGGTACAGACAACAGCCAGACCTCTGATCCTCTCATTAGCAATTTCAGAAGAAATTACCAGTCAACTGAGTAATTCACTGAGTTAAGTAAACATTTGGCACTGAAAGAGGTTAGACGGATAACTATTTGTATCACCATATTCATGAAGCTGGAATATTTTCCATTACTGGTATCACATCCGAATGGAAGATGTTAAAAGGTCTCTCATCTTGTAAGATGGATATGAAAGAACATTTTCTGAGAAATGAAATTATTAACACACCTGCGAGGTGGATGGAAGAGAAAAAAAAGAATAAGCAGCTTGAGTTCTTCTCCTTGATAAGACAACTCACTAAAAACATAAAGAGAAAAATACAAGTTTAAAACAATTAACCAGAAGAAGACGACTCTAGAGTTTTTAAATTGTTGATAAGATTTTAATTTGCTCCAAGTTGAAAATAATTATATTCCTTGTGTTTTAAGGCACATGATGAGCAATTACATCACACATGATAGTTTCAGCAGTAAAATAGTATCCGTTAACAGCTGGAACTCATAAAAGCATAGCACAATGTGAAGATGGAATTTGCTAAAATAAACCATCTGCTGAAAACTACTATTCTGCACATTTAAAAGTAAAGTCTAAATGTTATTTGTCTCATTTAATAGGTCTGTGAAAAAATGCGCTATTTGAAAAGTAGGTGCTACCTTAATTAATTCTTTATATTAGATGGCTGGTTACAGTAATGCACAGTAAGGTGCTACATAGATATATTGCTAAATTTTCTGCATATACTATGTATTTGGCTTAAATTATTTGAAATTTTATAGTTAAAATAACAAATGTATATTTAAATGTTTTGACACAAATTGCAAATATACCTTTAAAAAGAGTCTTACACTCTAAATATTATTTGTCACCTACATATTTGTCTTTTCTCTATAGGAAATTTTAAATTTTTCCCTTGAAGCTTTAATTATTTGAGTCTATAAAACAAACTGATAATGTACAAATTAACAGGAAAAAAAGGTTTACAGATATGTGCACAAGTATGCACTTGGAGTTTACATAATATATATAAATATATCTATACAAATATTTGTATATTATAAATAGATATACAAATATATACTATATATATAAAAACTCCAGGAAAGGCAAGGTAGTCAACAGGCCTATGCTGTCTTGAGGTTACAGAAAACACAGAGCTGTAGGTTGGTAAATCAGGCTTTGCGGAAGACAGGTGACGACAAGGAAGAAAGAGGAGTCTGGCAGCAGAGGTGGTCTTGTTACATGGATGAAACCTCACAGGGAGCAGCCCTCCCTTGGGAAGTATAGATAGGAAATGGTTTTTGGAAATGGTTTTTAGAAATATAAACGTGCCAGGCTCAGTTAATCTTTCCTAAACCCAGACAAGGGAGTATCTCAGGGAAAGCCTGTCTATATCAATGCAGATTTTCTCTACCTCCAGTCTTCCGAGCAGCCATCTTGAAATACGTCAAAAAGCTGCCCAGGCGAACACCTGTAGTCCCAGCATTTTGGGAGACTGAAGTGGGTAGATCACCTGAAGTCAGGAGTTGGAGACCAGCCTGACCAACATAGGGAAACCCCGTCTCTACTAAATACAAAAAATTAGCCAAGTGTGGTGGTGCATGCCTGTAATCTCAGCTACTTGGGAGGCTGAGCTAGGAGAATTACTTGACCCTGGGAGGCTGAGGTTGCAGTGAGCCAAGATTGTGCCATTGCACTTCAGCCTGGGCAATAAAAGCAAAACTCCATCTCAAAAAAAATGTATTTTAGGGTAATATTTTGAGTATCTTTACCTCCATATGTACAATAAATATTATTGTGATTTTTAATCTTTACTCTTCTGTGAAGAAAACACAGGTGTGATTTCTAGTGTAGCTGCACATCTTTTATTTGACAATATTGCCCTTGTGTGTCGGTGTGTGGATGTGTAGCTACTCTTTAATTTTGTTCTCACATAATGATTAGATATTAACAATTAATTCAGTAAAATGTATGTTTTGCAATATTTCTCCATGATATTATGCTTTAAATTAGTTTAATCATGCCCCTATAATGTGTACATTTTAACCTTCGACAATAGGTCTCAATCTTACTTTGATTCCTGTATTTGAATTTATGCTAATGAAGTCCTACAGCTGAAAAAGATTATATAAACTTATCTACATTTTTACTAGTATTCTGGTGTCATTTTACATTATGTAATGAAATCAAATTTTAATTTGGATTATTGTTATCTGAGTTAAGGATCTAAATTTGTAATTTTCTTATAAATATTACATAATTATTTCTGAACCATATATTGACTAATCTGCCCTTTATATGATGTGCATTATAAGAGCTTGGGATTGTTTCATTTGCAAAGATGAATGCTTGAGAAGTAGATAATTAATCATAACATTTCAAAATCTACTGGATAACCTAGAATTGAAAAATAGCCTATAGGTTGAAAAACTCCTGTAGTGAAGAAAGAAAATAACTAATATACAGTGACAATATAAATATTATAAGTATTTATTTTATTATCGTCCTGAAATTTGATAATACAAACATGTACTATCTACATATCATCCATATATCAGGTCAGAAAAAATCAATACATTCTTCAAAAATTTAGCATAACAGAAAATGCACTCTCTCTCCTTCATGGAATTAAGTTACAAATAAAAGTAAAAATAAGTAGATAAGTAGATGGAAGTAGATGTTTAAAAACAAAGAAAAATATTTGTTTTGGATAACATAAAATCTCAATTGACAGTTCCAATATTTCCAGAACTTTGACTGTCAACTTGTGGAGAGTTTTCCCCAGGAGACATTTGTCAATGTCTAGGGTTATTGTGGGGATGTCAAGACTGGTGGAGGTGTGAAATGTAGAGGTCAAACGAAACACCTAGCATTGCTAGGGAAGCCTCCCACAACAAAGAATCCTCTGGTCCTAAAGGTGAGTAGCACCAAGGTTGAGAAACCATAATCTAGACAGTAAACACTACGTAGCTATTCCAAGTGCTCAGGAAAACACATCAGTGCCCTCGAGGGGAAAAGTGTGAACATTTTAATTGCCGTACATGGTGACACAAATCCATGTTGTTAATCTAAGTGGAAGGGGCTGAAGCACAAAACGTAATTCAAAGAGTTTACTTGAGCCACGATGAGGACAGCTGCCTGGAAGAAACAGACCCAAGTATCCTTGGATATGAACTCCCTTTGGAGCTTTGCAACAAGCAGTTTCTTAAAGGCAAAAAAGGGTCCAGAAGTGGGATGATCCAAAGAGGTTTGTCACAAATTCTCATTGGCTTATGGAAATAACATTTATTAGTGACTGGCTATACACTGTTACACTATTATTGGGTGTGGATTATAGTGTCTGGTGTGGCGTTATTGGTTAATTTATAGCTACTGTGGCAACAGCAAGCAGCCTAGATGAACACACAGCTCAAAGAGGAGCAGGACAGAACTGCTGTCTCATTTGAATATCTCTCTGGGCCTGATTATTTAAAAGGACTTGCATTTCTCACATGAAAGTTATTTTCTTTTCTCAATGTCCATAAATGAGAATAAATAGACGTAAAATAGATCTTTTCGAGGATGAAGTAAATGGAATGAAAAACAAAACCCAAGAAAAGGTTATAAATATATGGATTTTTCAAAGTTATTTTAAGCTATTAGGAATCAGTTAAATGTTGGGGGATTTTGTCTGAGAATGGGCTAAAGGAGAATGTCCCTTTTGCCTTCTGAAGTTTCCCTGAAAATCACTAATAGGAGGCAGATACATAGTAGAAAAGGCATACAGGTTTCTGCAATGTGTGTACACTGGAGCCCTTAGAACGAAGACCCAGACACACGATGCGTGCAGAAGCTTATCTACCACATGAAGTTTACAGAAAGAATGGGGTCTTGGATCACAGGGAAAAAAAAAAAAAGGTTATGTGAGAAAACGACCCTGGCTAGCAAGAGTGGACTTATTACATAGGTGGAACCTCACTGGGAGCAGTCCTCAGAGAGAATGGACAGAAAATGTTTCTTTCAGACCTTTGGAGACCTCAGACTCTCAGTTAACCTTTCCTAGATCCAGACAAGGGGGCAGACCTCAGAGAAAGCCTGGCTGCATCAAGGCAGATTCTCTACCAATGCAAATCTCCCCAAGACAGCTTTGCAGCTATGTTAGCATTTCCAGCCCTTCTCAATAGCCATTTTGAAATATATCAAGGAAATATATTTAGGGGTAAAATATATTAGTTTCCTTCATACAGTTATAAAACATACAGGAATAATTTTTGTCAATGTCTACTACAAATCCAATATAGCAGTAATTATAAAACCCACCAGATATCGAAGAAAAAATATGTAGAGTACATCAATTACCAATGTTGATACTAAAATGCCAAATAAAATAAAAATAATATCCAACAATATTTGAAAGAGTAAGACAAGAAATTGGCAAAAAATAAAACAAATATCCACCTTGGAGATGAAAGTGTGTTTCCAAATTTGGTAATCCAATAATATTAATAATCATGTTGATTAGCACAAATTAAAAATAAATAGGGGATTCTCAGTACATGCTAAAATATATTTATTAAAAGGCAATATTCATGACTTTAAAGATTTTAAATGCTCTAAAGAGTCTGATATTCTATATGCAAATATGTGTATGTCCACTACAAGAAGAGAGGCCTGATTTTCATGTGTTACTACATAGAGATAGAGAAGTGGATAGATTAATTTGCATATGCATAGAGAAAGCATAAAATAGAAATTTACTATCATATTAAAGGAATTTAAATTCAACAATAAAATAATTCAAAGGTAAAATTTTAACTATTTTTAACAGGTACATTATTAATATTAGATAATATTTATAATAATTGTGAAAATATTCAATGCTAAAATAAGATAGTATGTCTAAACACCAGTATTAAAACTAGTATAAATATTTGCTTGTTTATACAAGGAAAATTCAAGCTTGACCTAAAATTATATAGGAAAGAAAAGAAAAATTTTAAGGGAGCTCTTTAACAACATAAACATATATATATACACACACACATATAACATGTATATATGTTATATGGGATAGATATAGATTTAACATGTTATATCTATATTTGTATCTGTAACTACAGCTGTATGTATCTACATTTCTATATATTTACTCTGATATAAATATAGACTGGAATAAATATAAAGGCACATATGATTCTTGGATTAAAAGGATTTAGTATCATAAAGACAAA
Organism: Homo sapiens; assembly: GCF_000001405.40. Taxonomy (NCBI): domain Eukaryota; kingdom Metazoa; phylum Chordata; class Mammalia; order Primates; family Hominidae; genus Homo; species Homo sapiens. The sequence goes on along the minus strand of NT_187648.1, from coordinate 153,785 downwards.
TTCTTTCCAAATTCACCTATGAATTCACAACAATATACAGTTTCATTAGTATAATTTAAAATTTTTAAATAAATTCCAAGATTCATTTAAAGGAATATACATATATACAAGCAGTCAAGAAAGAAGCAAGAGTGCACTAAACTAACTTGCTTTTAAAATACACTTTTAAACTTAGCAACTAAAACTGAGCAGTACTGATTTGGAGTACTGGAATTTAGGTATATGGGATCTCAAAAGCACAGAGCTCAAAGGAGACCGCTGTATGCACGAGAGCTTAGGATGTGCTTTAGAAGGCATTACCAAACCACGGGAAAAGTTACTTTAGTGTCTTAGTCTTACTAGGTTTGAAAAGCCAGAAAAAAGACTCAAAACCACCATATAAGAGCAAAACAAAAGGACAGGGAGAGAATGTGAAGATACTGAAACATTTTACATAAAGTTGTATAAAACATCCTTTAAGGAAAATGTAAAGTTTAGGATATTCATCAAAATCAGCAGAGCCACTAAATAAATAAATAGGCATTGTAAAATAGCAAGAGAAAATTTAAATGGATTTCTAAAAAATATTGACACCTATGATTTTTAAAATATGTTTAAGAAATCCCGTATTTCACAGGGCAGCCTTTCACAACACAGATATGTTAGGACATAAAGGTCTTTCTGTTTTTAATTTACTAGTGTTTATAGGGTTACAAATGTCTTCTACCCTTGTCTTTTGTCTGATGGTGCAAAAAATTTTCATAAGCATGTATTTCTGAATGCCTGATGGATTGACATATATAATATGCTGCTAGTATTAAAATATGTGACGGAAAACGCATCCAATCTTCTCACTGTTTACATAAATTCTAGGTTTCTCCTATTTACCTCAAGCACGTATGGAGCGAATTCTTACCTTGTAATATTGCCATGGCATTCACATTGAACATAAGTTGAACTCTCTCATATGGTAGCTGGGTTCAGATTCCCTTGACAATTTCCAGTTCTAACCCTCACAGTTCCTCAGTGTGGCTGGCCCAGATATTGACCCTACACAGTTGCCTCCTCCTGGTGACTACCAGCTATGGAACCGTTGGATACAACCTACCTGACTCACCCCACAGACCTCACAGCGCACATGGACAGCCCCCACACGCCAGAGCGACCTGCTCGGTTGCAGCGGGAGTCAAGAAATGTGCCTGCTGGCACTCACCCCACCGACTAGTGCCCCGTGGAAAACTTATTTGGGTAATGTTCTGGGCCCAATGAAGTCTGGAGTCCCACAGACCCTTTTCTCTCTCCAGCTCCCCACTCATCTTCCCCATTTTGTTCAGCCTTGTAAGGTGTGCTACTGTATTAGTCCATTTTCACACCGCCAGTAAAGACATGCCCAAGACTGGGTAATTTCCAGAAGAAAGAGGTTTAATAGACGCACAGTTCCACATAGCTGGGTAGGCCTCACAATCATGGTGCAAGGTGAAAGGCACGTCTCACATGGCAGCAGACAAGAAAAGAGAGCTTGTGCAGGGAAACTCCTCTTTGTAAAACCATCAGATCTTGTGAGACTTATTCACTATCAGAAGAACAGCATGGGAAAGACCTGCCCCCACGATTCAATTTCCTCCCACCTGTTCCCTCCCACAACATGTGGGAATTCAAGATGAGATTTGGCTGGGGACACAGCTAAACCCTCTTCTCAGCTACCCTCTTCTCTCTGGATCTGTGAGTAATAAACCTACTTCTGTGATTTCCCATGTTTGTTCCTGTGGCCTCCATGTCTCTGATCTGACCTACACTGGAACCTAACTCTCCTCCTGGCCAGGGTCTCTGAGAGTGGCTCTTGTCAGAAATACACAGGACATAGGTCAGGCAACAGTCACCAGGCATCTCCTAGTCTCAACAGATGTTCTGTGAGAGGGAGGCCTGGTCGTGGGATGCGAACCTGGCCACTGCTGGGGCAAGGAAGTGCCCTATGAAAGGCACATGTTAAGCATCCACAACCCCCTGACCAGAACCCCAGAAAGGCAGGGCTCCAATTGACAGTCACTCTCCAGAGACAAACCTCAAGCCCTAACTGCAGTAAAAGAAAACAATGTAAAATGTTGAATTTATCTTACTATTTCAATGATCCAGTAAAGACATTCTATGCCTGTACACCACATATTTTCTTCAGTTGTGGATATATTTTAGATAGAATTTTATGTCTGGCTTTCACTTTAGCCTGGACCCTACCTCAAGCATAAGGTAAAGATTTTCCATGGGTTCTTTTCTGGTACTACTACCTGCCAGTGTGGGGTCATGTCCTAGTCTATCTCGAGGGAACCCCCCTGTTCATTGTTGTCAGAGTGAGACTGTTAAGTCTTGATTTCCCTGGACAACTTCACTCCATGACTTTTAATATGATTTTTCAATATACCCTTTACTGGACAATAAATTATATCGTTATCTGAGTAAGAGATATGGTCAGGAAGAGGCATTGCCTCATTCAGCTTTTCTTTTTGGTGAACTCGCGTATGTTCTCCTCACCCGCCAGTCGCCCCTAAAACATATTGTTCCAAGACAACAAACAGAACTCGAGTGTGTATCTTTCACCACTGGATTTGTGTTTGCTCCATAAAGCTTCATGCTTAATAGGGTTTCTGTTAGCATTTTCTCTATTTATTTTCCCATAAAATATCACAGGCCTTCTTTCTATGGAATTATGGGTGATTTCCTTCAATCTGCATCATATAAAGTTGAAGTTCATGTTGATGGAGGGTAAAACATACGTTGAAAATATCAGTAATGATGTTTTCCCCTCCTTTTTAGCACCTGTGCTTGTGATACAAGCACATTGTGATACAAGCACAATGTAATACAATTGTAGTCTCATGCTTTGATCATTCCTATGATGAAAATAACATTTTTAGATAATATGTCTGAGTTTTATGAGGCCTTTAGTATGTGATGTGATAGAATATCAGAAGACCATACTTTTTTCTAGTTTTCCATGCAATTCTATCATTGTTTCATCTTTACTCCTACCAGAGTAATTTTCCAAAATAGATATCTTGTCATTCTTCCTGTTGTTATCAGTAAATAAGTGAAATGAAAAGCTAGATTATATAATTTATCTAGAACAAGAAAGTAGAATTGAATCTATATTCATTAATGAGACTAACCAGTCAATTACACAGATAGGCACTTTAGATTTTGAAGATCATATGGACCCATTGTCAGAAATATTATTATTTATGTCTATATGGACATCATCTGTGCATATTTACATAGAAATCAATGAGAACTGATGTTCATTTTTATTATATATTTTTTGAGATAGGGTCTTGCTTTGTTGCCCAGGCTGGAATGCAGTGGTGCAATCACTGCTCACTGCAGCCTCAGCCTCCCAAGCTCAAGCGATCCTTCCACCTTGGCCTCCAAAATAGCTAGGACAACAGGTGCACATCACCATGCCCACTTTTTTTTTTTAACTTTTGATAGAGACTGGGTCTTGCTAGGTTGCCCAGGTTGCTTTTGAACTCCTGGGCTCCAGGAATCCTCTCATTTAAGCCTCTTCAACTGCTGGTATTACAAGCATGAACCACCACATGGGCTGGAAGCTGATTTTTAAAATACTGAGATCATATAGATGACAGCACCTGAAAAATAGACAACACCAAGCTTTATGTTAAAAGGTGTGAGGGTATCAATATTGTTGTGGCTATTGGGGAGGAAAACATTAGTAAAACCAGTAAGTTAAAGCTCTTGCTTTAAACTTTGGCTTTAATTTAACAAATGTTCTATGGAGTGACAGTATGTACGTAACCATGCTATGCCCATTCACAGATGCAGTAGAGGGAAGAATTTCTCAAAGACAACTGTTCTAAGACTCAAATTAATCCGTACTGGGTTTGAAAAGAGAAAGTCCAGGAATTACCAAATATTTTAGATATCAGATAAAAGAGAATGCCAGGTATGCGATGATAATCAGCAATGGTTGTTCACACAATACATCAAATCAGTATTTGAATTAGCTTTTGAATTACAAGGACAAATGGATCAAGTCTAGACTCTTTAGTAGATAAATCTTATTAGGCTGAGATGTGTTTTCCCCTGTTTTTCCACAAGGAGATTACAAATTTGCAAACCTCAGCTGCTCTCATTTTATGCTCTCACCAAGCCAAAAGCTGTAGTTCATCAATCAGTGTGTCTAAGTGTTCACTGGTTATATACCATTTTGTAGTTTCAGCTATCTTTCCAACTTCCTAAATCATCACCTTCATTTGATCTTGTTTTTTTTCCACTATCACTTCTTTATTGACCATATAAAGAATATAAGTAAGTTCTTATTTTGCTATTGTTCATTTCAGTCTAATTTCATCAAAATATCACAATCTTTTAATTTCATTTTAATTTCAAAGATTAAATGAAACCTACATAGAAATGAGTGTAAGATTTGCATTTGCATTATTTTGGCATCAATTTGCTATCCTCCCTCCTGCACATAGAGATCATTTCCATGTATGTGATTTCAAACATCCAAGTGCAGTATTAAAAGCAGTTGTAAATTATGGTTCTCATTTTCATGATACAATTACAGTATAAACTTCCTCTTGCTGCTGTAACCAATTACCACAAACTTCATATCTTACAATAAAGTGACCGTTAATCCTACAGTTCTGTAGTTCAGAAGCCTTAAATGAAACTCACAGGGCTAACATCAAGTTTTGGGCAGGGCTGCAGTCTTTCTGAGGGCTATGTGGCAGAATCTATTACTTGATTTTTTTCAGCATCCAGGGGCCACCTTTATTCCTTGGAACATGACCTCATTCTTATATCCTATTTTTCTTTCTTTTTTTTTTTTTTTTTTGAGATGGAGTCTCCTTCTGTCACCCAGGCTGGAGTACAGTGGCACGATCTCAGCTCACTGCAACCTCTGCTTCCCAGGTTCAAGTGATTCTTCTGCCTCAGCTTCCTGAGTAGCTTGGACTACAGGCACTTGCCACCATGCCCAGTTAATTTTTTGTATTTTTAGTAGAGATGGGGTTTCACCATATTAGCCAGGATTGTCTCGATCTCCTGACCTCGTGATGAACCCACCCCAGCCTCCCAAAGTGCTGGGATTAGGCGTGAGCCACCACGCTGGGTCCTCATTCTTGTATCTTAAAAGTAAGTGATGTTGAGTAATTTCTCATGCCACCACCTCCAAGGTTGCCTTTCTTCTGCCTTCTTCTTTCACTTATAAGGAAGTTTGTGATTTCATTGATCCCACCCATTTAAGACAATCTCTCTATCATTTTTCCGCAACCTTAATTTCACTTGAAATCTAATTTCACACTGCCGTGCAACCTAACATATTTGTATGTTAGACTCTGGGAATTAGGAAATGAAAATTTTTGGGAGGCCATTCTTTTGCCTACAGCAGACATAATCTATTTACCTGCAGATTAAAGCGTTCTTTATTTTTCTGTTTCCCTCTCTTAATTTTTTTAAACTAATATGAATTGTAGTAAAGAGAAAGAAAGAAAACAAAGAAAGAAAAAGAAGGAAGGAAGGAAATAAAGAAAGAAGAAAGAAAAGAAGGAGGAAATGAGGGAAGGAAGGGAGGGAGGGAGGGAGGGAGAAAGGCAGGAAGGGAGAAAAAAGAAAGCATGAACACAAGAAAGAAAGAAGGAAAGAAAGAAAGAGAAAGAGAGAGAGAAAGAGAGAAAGAAAGAAAGAAAGGAAAGGAGGAAGGAAAGGAGGAAGAGAGAATGGCAAAAGGGAGGAAGACAAAGAAACAAAGAAAATAAAGAGGCAAAGGAAGGAAAAAGAGGAAAGGAAGTGAGGGAGGAAGGAAGAAAAGGAGGGCAGGAGGAAGGGAGAAAAAAGGGAAGAAAGCAAGAACGTGAGAAAGAAAGAAAGAATATGAGAAAAGAAGGAAGAAAAGGGAGGGAGAAAGGAAGGGAGGGAGGAGGGAAGGAAGAATAAGAGGAAAGAAAGAAAGAAGAAAAGAAGGAAGGAAGGAGAAAAAAGAAAAGAAAGGAAAAGCAAAAAGGAAAGAAAAGGAAGAGGAAAAGAAGAAAGGAAGGCAGAAGCAAGGGAAGGGAAGAGAAAGGAAGACGGAAAGAAGGAAGCAAGAACGCAAATATTAGAAATTCTGCGTTTGTTAAAGAATATGCCATACTGTTTTTTTTTTTTTTTTCACTTGAAAGAGTATCTGCCATTGAAGATTGGGTGTCTTGTTGGTGATATTGTTGTTCTTATCTTCCACATGATTACTGAGTTTGTGCCTAGTCTTTCCATTACTAAGACAAAAGTGTTGAAGTCTGCAAATATAATTTTGGATTTTTCTAGTTCACCTTTGATTTCTTTCATGTTTTACCTCATGTATTTGGAGGTTCTGTTGTTAGCTGCATACCCTAATTAGTAGGATGTTTACATCTTCTTGAGAACGGATTATTCTATTATCTATTATCTCTCATCTCTGATACTATTGCTTGTTCCGAACTCTGTTGTGTCTAATATCAATGTAGTCCTTCCACAGCTTTATTTTAGTGTTTCCATGATAAGGCTTTCTCCATATCTTGTTGAAAACCTATTTATATCTCTAAATATTTGGAGCAAGATATAAAATTTAGACTTGATTTTTTAAAGATTTTTCAAGATGTAATTCTTATTTCTTTTTGTTCTATTTGTCATTCTCTGAGTTTCCTATATTTGAAGTTTGATTTTCTGTCACTTCTTTTAGAATATTTTTGGCAGTTATTTTGAAAAATATTTCTTTTGCTCCATTACTTTTCCCTCTTTTCTTTTTGGGATTTCAATCATAACTAGAGTAGGTAATTTCATCTCAGTCTTATGCAGGTACTTTTTCTCAGGGTCTCAGGAATGTAGCATTCTCACACTTCTGTTCCTTTCCTGGCTGTGTTGGTGAGCTCAGTGATATTCCTCCTTCACCTTCAAGAGCAGTTTTGTTTTGTTTTTCCTGTTTTCATACTCCCAGCATCAGGAGTATTCTAAGTGTGGCAGTTTTTCTTGCCTTCCCCTACATATTAAGTGTGATATCTTGGTCTGTTTGGACTCTTTTAACAAAATAACATAAACTGGGTGACTAAAAAACAGCAGATATTTCTTTTTTCACACCTCTTGAGGCTGTAAGATCTCAGGCCAAGATGCTCACAAATTCAGTGTTGATGAGAGCCAATTTCCTGGTTCATAGATGGTGCCTTCTTTCTATGTCCTCACATATTGGAAGGCACACAAGAACTCCATTGAGCTTCTTTTATAAAGGTACTAATCCCATTCATAAGGGCTCGGCCCCCAAGACCTGGTCACCTCCCAAGTGTTCTGCTCTCCCTGATCTGTGTCATATACAGACTCTCTTGGATTCCTTACCAATTGCTTGAGAGATCGCAGTGGGTTTGTGCGGAAAAAGTTTTCAAGATGATGGATCTTTCCCAACTTCTGCAGCTGTCAGCGGTCTCCCAATCTCACCAGCCCCACTTTGCTTTAGGAATTTATTGATTATTCCAGCTTTACTTGTCATAGTGGTGTCTATTTGCATCTGTCCTATGTGAGTGCATCTGTCCTCTTTCTTCTTGCAGGTGCTTGTTTTCCTTCACATTTTGACTCAGTTCTTGGCAACCTCGTTGCTATAAAGTAAAGTGATGACTTTGAAGTTAGTTTGGTTCTTTCATTGTTGTCAGGTTAGGAACCCTATTCCATCCCAGATCTCCAAACCCCAGACTTTTTGGGGGTTTGAAATTTTAGGCTTTGTCTTTGAATTGTAGTTTTATCTTCTTTCAGCTACCATTTGCATTTTCATAATGATTAATGAGACTAAGCTTTTTTTGTGTAGTTGACTGTACCTTTGGATTTTTTTCCCAAATACCTTTTTATTTCTTCTTTTCTTTATGGTTTTAGAAAATGTAGTTTACATAATTGCAGCTTGATTTTTTACTCAGTTAATGGCATGCTTAATGGAGAGAAAAAATATTAAATATATTTCCCTTTTTAATTACTGTGCTTTTTCCTTTTTTAAGGAAATGCTTCATTATGTTAAATTTCAGTGTTATTCTACTTAGCTATTCCTTAAATATTATAGTATTTTGGATTTCACATGTAAATTTGTAACATATCTTGAGTTTATTATGTATAGAGTAAGGCTATTTTCTCTTTTTTGTTTTTTAAGGTAAAAATCTCATAATACAAAAGTAATAACAACCATTTTAAAGCATACAATGCACTTGCTTTTAGTATATTCACCATGTTCCGGGGCAATTTCATCATGTCCCTTACAAAAACCCATTATGCATAAAGTGGTTACACCCTATTCTGCTTCCCTGAGCCCTAATGACCACTAATCTGATTTATATCCCAATTGATTTGCCAATTCCTGATGTTTCATGTGAATCAAATCAAGTAATATTTGTCCTTTTGTGCACTTAACATAATGCTTTCAAATTTCACCAATATTATACCATATATAAGTACTTCATTCTTCGTTATAGCTGAAAATTGGGTGTCCCTTTATGAGTCAACAAGCATATGGATTGTTTCCACTTTTTGACTGTATGAATATTACTGCTGTAAATATTCATGCACATGTTTATTTTCTGAGCACCTATGTTTTGTAAGATTAACAGCTGACTTAAGAGAAACAATGGAAGGCAAGAGGCAGTAGAATAATATATTCAAAAGATGCAAAGGAAAAAAACCTCTCAGCCACGAATTCCTTATCCAGCAATTATTTTTCAAAAATGAAAATAACACAAAGACTTAGCCAGATAAACAGAAACATTAACTGAAGTTGTTGCTGGCAGACCTACCATATAAAAAAAAAAACTCTAAAAAAATTCCTAAGGCTAAAAGCAAGTTACATAAGACAGTCACTTGAATCCACATTTTAAAAAAAGCACTGATATACGTAATATTGACATTATAAAAGACAGTAAAAATGCATTTCTTCTCTTTATAATAAATTGTTTATTAAATAACATGAGTATAATGGCCAGGCACGATGGCTCACACCTGTAATCTCAGCACTTTGGGAGGCCAAGGCGGGCTTATTACGAGGCCAGGAGATCGAGACCATCCTGGCTAACACAGTGAAACCCCGTTTCTACTAAAAATACAAAAAATGAGCCGGGCGTGATGGCGGACGCCTGTAGTCCCAGCTACTCGGGAGGCTGAAGCAGAAAAATGGCATGAAGCCGGGAGATGGAGCTTGCAGTGAGCGGAGATTGTGTCACTGCACTCCAGCCTGGGTGACAGAGGGAGACTCCGTCTCAATGATAATAATAATAATATGTGCATAATGTATTGCTGAGTATTTGACATGTAGAAATGTAATACGTCTATAACATATTTTCCAGTAACATCAAAAAGGAGGTAGTTGGAAGAAAAATGTATTGTGATAAGGTAATCACTCTAGATGGTAAAGTAATAATTACTAAAATGTATTGTTTGCTTTGTAACTTTAATAGATGTAATGTGTAAAGTGATAATACTTTAAAATGGAGGAAATAAAAATGATTTATATAAGAATGATGTTTCTATGTATTACTAAAAGTTTAATAGTATAAATTGGAAGATGATTTGAATAATTAATTTTCCATACACCTATATGGTAAACTTACAACAACAATAAAAAGTCTCAAAAATATATAATAAAATAATTCATTAGTAATCTAAAGTTCCCTATTTTAAAAAATATTCTTGCATTGCAAAATAAAGCAATAAAGAAAAATATTTGGAAATATATAAAACAAACGGTAAAATGGCAGACATAAATAGAATTATACCAATTATAATCTTAAATGTGAGCAGATTAAAATCCATTCCAGAGGCAGAGATTGTCAGACCGGATTAAAACAAGTGATCCCAATATACGCTGAGATGCAAGGATACTAACGGATTGAAAGTAAAAAGATGACAAAAAATATCCTACAAAGAGCAATCATAAGAACACTGAACTCATTATACTCATAACACACAATATAGACTATTAAAAATGTGAATAGGATTTTAAAAATTTATATTGTAGTAAAAAGGGGGTCAACGCTTTAGGAAGACATAGCTATTACAATCATGTATGCACAGATATGAGCTAAATTGTTTCCTCTATATAGATGCTGAAATTCTAACCACTGAATATGACCTCATTAGGAAATAGGTTATTTGCAGCTGATCAAGTTAAGATACAATCAGATGAGCCTGAATTCAATATGACTGATGTCCTTATTAAAAGAAGAAATTTGAGTAGAGGGAGACATACACACAGGGAGAGTACCATGTGATTATGAGGGCAGAGATTAGCCAAGGAATGCCAAAGACTGCCACTAAACCACCAGAAGCGAGAAACAAGGCACAGAACAGGCTTTCTCTCATAGCCCTTGAAGGGACCATCCCTGCTGACACCTCAATCTCAGACTTTTAGCTTCCAGGACTATAAGACTATAAATGTATGCTGTTCAAGGCACTCAGTTTGTGTTAGTTGGTTATGGCAGCCCTAGAAAACTAATACATGAACTAATAACAAAGCATAATAACATGAAGCAAAAATTGACAAAAGAGGAGCATCAGCAAAATGGCAGTGGAGACAGCTGCAATCTGTCATTTCCCCACAGAAACATCACACAACTAAGAGAAACTGTCCGAACAAACTTTGCCAAAACTCTGGAAAATGGTCAAAAGATTACAACAACCAAGTGAAAGCAGACTCAAGAAAAAGACAACTGGAAAACTTTACGACATTTTAAACTTGTCTTTGCCCCAGCAAATTGGCAGTTTTGAAGTGTCAGAAGCCCACGTTCCCAGTGAGGAAGCCTGGTCCATGGTCCAAAGGAACAAGAGAAGATCTTACCCGCAAGTTATTATGTGTCTGTTCTGACTGGTCTGGGGGATACCTAAAGGACTCATGAAAGGCTTTTTTTTCTGTGTTGCTTGAATACAGAACAGATAAGGAATGGACATTATTAAGAAACTCTGCAAGGAGACTTAACAAACCACAGATGCTTAGGGCAAAAATTAAAGTTTACGCATATAGTAGATCACCTTCAGCACAGTAAGAAAAGGTGGAGAAGAGTATTTCAAAAAAAGACACACAAAATCATTCACGTACATGGGAGAGTCTGGAAAGTCACATGTATTCATAGGTTAAGCCACATGCTGACAAATGTCATAAGAAGACCCTACACTTTCACCTTGGCCGATCCCTCCCCTCAGTGCAAGCTCTGTGCAAGAGTGAACTTGAACTTCACTCAGTGCAAGAGTGAACACACACTTTGTGCCGGCTTTAAAGAACCCAGCACAAAGCCAGTCTGCATGGCCTAGAGACATATTTTGCTGGACAATGATTACTTGTTTTCCTTTTTGTTTTTCTTGTATTTGCCTGTTTGATTGGTTCCTGACATACAAGAAAATCACTGTCAAAACATTAGCTTAACATTTGTTAAGGAAACAAAAAGACTTCGGTGACCACACCTTATAAAGCAAACAGTTTTGTAAATCACTTTGGAAAATTTCACTAAAAAAAAAAAAAATCCTTAACAATATAATAAGTAAAGAAAATTTAAAACCACAAAACATTACTGTGTTTGTAGGGGGTGTTCGATTTGCAGAGTAACCACTTAGTAATTATAGTTATTAGAATGTCCAGTTTTCAAAAAACGTTACAAGGCATACAAAGAATGGGAAAGTGTGGCTCATTCAAAGGAACAAAATAAATTGACAGAAAATATCCCTAAGGAAACCCAGACATCAAACTTACTAGACAAAGACTTTAAAACAACTCTCTTCATTATACTCAAATGTCAAAAGGAAAACATAATCAAAGAAATAAAGGAATCAGAAAAAAATATTAAAAAGCAGGAATATCAGCAAAGAGATAACAGAAATTCTGGAATGGAAAACTACAATGATAAAAATTTCAAAATCACCAGAGGGATTTAAGAGTCTATTTGCACACACAGAAGAAGCCATGAACTTGAAGAGAAGATAATGGAAAATACTGACTCTGAGAAACAGAAAGAATAAAAAATAAACAATGAGCAGAGACTAATGAATCTGTGGGACATCATCAAATAGACCAACATTCATATTCTAGAAGGATAAATTATGTTATTAAAAAGTTTACCCTTCTTTCTTTTCACCTTTCTTCCTTCCTCCTTCCCCCTCCTCTTTACTTTTCTTCCTCTTCCTTTGTCTTCTTCTTTCTCTCCTTCATTATCCCTTTCGCTGTTTCTCTTTCTCCCTTTCTCTTTTTTCTTTTCTTTCAATTTTCTCAATTACTAAGAGATGTTTAAGTACCCTTACCCTGTTAGTAGATACGGTTATTTCTCCCTTTAGTTCTCTTTTGAGATTTATAGTCACTCTAAGTAAAGAGATAACCCAAACATAAGCGTCACCAACAGGCTTTCATACCATTCTTAATTTGGTCCTGTAATTCTTCATTGCTGTATTAACTTTCTGATGCTTTTAAGGATGTTTTATAACAAATTGTTTAGTTTTTTCCACTGGAATGTTTATTCTGAATTATCTAATTCATATTGTAAGTATAGAGGGAGTTTAATATGAAATTATTAAACTAATATTTGTGAAAGAATGTATTTGTGCATTCAACAAATATGTTAATCATCAGACTGTTATTGGGCAGCTGAGCATACAGGAATAAAAATAACACAATTTTTATGTGCACAATATTTATGGAATGCGTTACTGGACCAAATAAATAATTTAGTTAATAACATGACAAAGAACAGAAATTGTATACACTATAGAGCATAGTAATGGAATAATGAATGATTAAAGTTATTAATATTAGGTAGAAAATGAAGGGTATCTTTGAGAGCAGAACTCAAGGAAGCAAGCAATTCACCTTATGAGGAAAGAGTTACCTGTGGATAAAGGAGAAACTGAAAAATTTACAAGTCAAGACTTTTTGAGCAAAAGCAAAAATATGACTATTAGTCACCAATTCAGTAGAGTGAAAAAAAAAGTTGAAGAGATATCTTGGAAGTAAACCATGTTGTGGAAGAGCATGTAGGGTTTTGATAATCATGGGATGATTCTGAATTAATTTTAAATGCGATAGGAATATATGAGATAATTTCACCAGAGAATAACATGATTGTGTTTGCATTTCAAAGGGGTGTATCTGGTGCACTGTGTAGAATAAATAGGTTATGTGAGCAAATAAATTGGGAGGCTACTCTAATCCAGAGAAAAAAGGTAGTGACTTAGGTGAGAATGCTGTCAGGATGAGTGGTAGTAGTGGTGAGAAGTCGTTAGGCCATGGATGTATTTCATAGGACTGGCCAAGAGAACTGCAGCTAAATTGGAGTGTAGGGAGTGAAATGGAGAACTCAAAGATGACTCTCAGAACTGGAAGGTGACAGCTGTCACTGAAGCATGCTGATGCCTCTTATTAAGAGAGTTACGTGGGAATGGCAAGATCAAAACTTCTCACTTTCAAATTTATGAAAAAATATTGTTTTCAGAACGAATGACTTTGGGATCAGAAAGCCACCATTCTAATTGATGGTTCCACGACTACACGGGCTCACACTCCCAAGAGCAAAAGTAAATCATCACAAAGGTGCTTCTTGATAATTCTAGAGAATGGAGAATTACTGTAACATCTTTCTGATTTTAGGAGAGGTAGCAGTTCCCTTTTTAGCCAAAACGCTATTTTTTTTTAAAGCTCAGCCAAGAGACTCCATTATAATTTTCAAATGTGTGTAACTTAAATTCTCATATGAAATACCACTATGCTTAAATTAGTCAAAACATTTTCCCCATCTACAACTCTATCTTGTCACTGCAATCATTTTCACAAGAGTGACTGCAGCTCACAGACCCTAAAAAGGAGAAAATCCAGGGTAGGTTATCTGATCTAGTTAGTTTCGAAGACAGGATCTAGAGATTATTTAATATGAAATAGGTCACCTGAAATGAAGTGTTTACTGAAAACAGCTTGGATCTGCCCAGTTTTCTACCACTGAACCATGCATTTGGTTTAAAAAACACAACAACTCTGGGGAATACCGGCTGCTTCCAACTGTGTTGAAGGTGTTAAAGAAAAGAGCATAAAATTAAAAATGATCATCTGAGGCCTTTATAGTCTCTGCTCAAGAGACAAGAGTCTTCCATTCTTAACAAAACACCCAAATATCTTAATAATTGGGCAAAATCTAAATATCAGAGATAATTTTATCTTGAAGATTGTTAAATTATAATGGTGATTCACTACCTCGCCACGTCTCTGAGTCAAAAATTAGGTTTTTGTTTAAGAATCAATGGTACTCTGCAACTTGGAAATAGGAAGATTTTAGAAGACTCAAACATTGACTTTCTTGTGTGCAAAAAAAAAAAAGACGTATTGAGATAAGACAAGTCTTTCCTTGCAAGGATACCTCTAATGCTCATACACCACCTCCCCTAACATTAATACAGCTTCCAGGTCACTAACCAGTGTCAGAGAGCAGCCCATGCAACTAGAAATTCAAAAGATGTCGAACATAGGGTCAAGCCTAGAATAAGAAGTCTTAGCTAATTAAGTATGCTTTTTTCCTGAAATTCATATTAACAAAAACTTGGATATGTCAGAGAATGCATTCTAAGTTCACTCAACCTAGGAGGGAGAAACATAATTTTAAATTAAGAGCTGAAGCATTCTTGTCCTAACAGAAAGCAAGGAAAACGAAATATCACACCACAGGAGGGATTTCACAAATTAGTGTCAACATCAAAACCTTAAAATAGGCAAGGAGAATGCAGATTCACAATGAACTCCTGTACTTGTTTTGTTCAGAGAAGAGATGGTTCTGAGAGAACGACAGTGAACCAACCCCAGCTGGTTTAGTTGGTGCTTTCAACTGCTGCTTCTGATCAACTCCTTTAGCTAGAATAAATTGATGAGGATTTTGGCATGTGGTATTAGAGATAGTTATTAATTTTTTCCTCTTATTTGCATTGTTCAATGTAGTAAATACTAGCTGCTACTTCAATTCAAATTAATTACAATGAAATATACTTAAATGTTGAATTTTTTAGTCACTGTTGGTTCATTATTGAATATCTTCAGCTAAGATTTCCCATCTAAATACACTTAAGAGGTGGCTTAGTTAACTGGTCGTCCACAAATATTGAAGCTGTTGTTAACTCCTGATATATTCTCTGAAAAGAGAATATTCATGAGCCTCCTCCTGAAATCAGCAGCCTAGAGATAGTTTTATAAATTGGATACAAGTTGGAAATCTATATACTCTTTCAGTTTTTGAAATATTAGCTTCCCAGGGAAGAAAATCAAATTCATAAGATATGTTAGGACAATTTAACTCAAGATGTTCAAAACTGAAATGACATGTTCTACAATATGTGATAAAACCAACCCCTAACAACTTAAAGCAAAACAGGGATTGACCTTAAAGACCTGCCTTTTCCTCATGCCCCAGCCAATCAGTTTTCAAATCTTGCATTTTATTTTGAAAGGTCCTTATCCCCCTGGTCTCTTGTTTCTAGACTTCGCACATATTTAAGTTTGTTACCTCTATCTACTGTCTTTCCTCTTTTCAAACAGTATCTATGCCTGCCAAATGTGAACATACAAAAAACAAATCAGAATATGCCATTCTGATTTAAACTGCTTATTAGTTAATACCCTCAAGATAACATCTGGGTTCTTAGCTGCAATGAGTCAAGCTTACATCTTTTTTTGTCTTTGGCTGCACATTTCCTATCACATCACACTCCAGCAATACCAAGCTGTGCCGTCCTTCTACCCCATCTCCACTATTTTGCCCCCATCCGCCGCGGCTTTTTCCCCCCCACCCCGCCTCAGCTTTTTGCCCGCCACGGCTTTCTGTCCCCCGCCGCCGCGACTTTTTGCCCGCCGCGGCTTTTTACCCCCCGCCGCCGTGGCTTTTTGCCCCACTGCCGCCGCGGCTTTTTGCCCCCCACCCCGCCTCGGCTTTTTGGCCGCCGCGGCTTTGTTGTGACCCCCCTCGCCACCGCGGCTTTATGTCCCCCCGCCGCCGCGGCTTTTTGCCCGCCGCGGGCTTTTGCCCCCCGCCGCCGTGGCTTTTTCCCCACGGCGGTTTTTTGCACCCCCCCCCCGCCGCCTCGGGTTTATGCCCACCGCGGCTTTTTGCACCCCGCCGCCTCAGCTATATGTCAATCGGGCTCTTTTGCGCCCCCGCCGCCGCGGCTTTTTCCCCCACGCCACCGCGCCTTTCCGCCGCCACGGCTTTTTCCCCCCCGCCGCCGTGGCTTTTTGCTAACCCGGCTTTTTGCCCGACTCGGCTTTTTAACCCCCCTGCCGGTGCCGCACTTATTTGCCCGCAGCGGCTTTTTGCACCCCCGCCGCCGCGGCTTTTTGTCCCCCCGCCGCGGGTTTTTTGCCCCCCCACGCGGCCGCGGCTTTTTGTCCCCCGCCGCCGCGGCTTTCTGCGCGCTGCGGCTTTTTGCACCCCGCCCCCACGGCTTTCTGCCCACCGCGGCTTTTTGCCAGACCCGGCTTTTTGATCCCCCGCCGCCGCGGCTTTTTGCCGGCCGCGGCTCTTTCCCCCCACCGCCGCGGCTTTTTGCCAGACCCGGCTTTTTGAACCCCCGCCGCCGCGGCTTTTTGCCCCCCCGCCACCGCGGCTTTTTGCCCGCTGCGGGTTTTTACCCCACGCCGCCGCAGCTTTTTGCCGGACCCGGCTTTTTGCTCCCCCGCCGCCGCCGCCGCCGCCGCCCCGGTGCCGCGGTTATTTGCCCGTCGCGGCTTTTTGCCCCCTGCTGCCGCGACTTTTTGCTCGACCCGGCTTTTTGCCCCCCGACGTCGCGGCTTTTTGCCCCCCGCCGCCGCGGCTTTTTCACCCCCTCCGCCGCGGCTTTTTGCCCCCCGCCTCCACGGCTTTCTGCCGCCGCGGCTTTTTTTGCCTCGGCGGCTTTTTTCCCGACCTTTTTGCCCCCCCCGCCGCCGTGGCTTTTTGCCCGCCGCGGCTCTTTCCGCCCACCGCCGCGGCTTTTTGTCGCCGCGGCTTTTTGCCAGCCGAGGCTTTTTATCCTACGCCGCCGCGGCTTTTTGCCCGACCCGGCTTTTTGCTCCCCCGCCGCCGCGACTTTTTCACCCCCGCCGCCGTGGCTTTTTGCCGCCCCGGTGCCGCGGTTATTTGCCCGTCGCGGCTTTTTGCACCCCCGTCGCCGCGGCTTTTTGCCCCCTGCTGCCGGCTTTTTGCTCGACCCGGCTTTTTGCCCCCCCCCCCCACCGCCACGGCTTTTTCACCCCCGCCGCCGCGGCTTTTTGCCCTCCCGGTGCCGCGGTTATTTGCCCCCCCCGGTGCCGCGGTTATTTGCCCGTCGCGGCTTTTTGCATCCCCGTCGCCGCGGCTTTTTGCCCCCCTGCCGCCGCGGCTTTTTGCCTCCGCAGCTTTTTGCATCCCCGCCGCCGCCGTGGTTTTTTGTTGCCGCGGCTTTTTCCCCCCGCCGCCGCGGCTTGTTGCCGGCTGCGGCTTTTTGCCCCCCCCCCCGCCACTGTGGCTTTTTGCCCCCCCCCCCCGCCACTGTGGCTTTTTGCCCCCCCACTCCCCCCCGCCACTGTGGCTTTTTGCGTCTTTGTGCCCCCGCCGCCCTGGCTTTTTGCCCGCGCCACCACTGCTTTTTGCACCTTTTTGCCCCCGCCGCCGCGGCTATTTGCCCCCCGCCGCCGCGACGTTATATGGTTTTTTGCTCCCACTGCTTTTTGCCTCCGCCGCCGCGGCTTTTTGCCCCCCCACCACCGCAGCTTTTTGCGCGTCTCGGCTTTTTGCCCCACCAGCGCCGCGGCTTTTTGCCCCATGGCCATCGTCAGAAGTGTGAGTGGAACAGAGTGAAGGGAAAGCTGTTTTCTTCGAAAGCTCAAAAATCTTCAACTTTTAAATAGGGATAAGTGTTATTTTTGCTCCAAGCACACATTTGAGAAATCTTCCATTTAGCGGATCTGATGATAAACCCACATTTTTGTTTGTTTTAATCTGAAAATGTATTTGTATGGTTCTTGGAAATATTTTTTTCATATAAAATTATAGTTTATCAGCTTATTTCAAGTTTTATTTACCATTTGATAATTACTCCTAAAATGTCATTGATTAAAGAAAGAATCATCTATTGCTCCAACTGCTCTTTACTAAAGGTAATTTGTCTTTTTAACCTCATCAGGCTCCTTTTAAGCTCTCAAACTGACCTTATTTTTTTTTTACAGATTCAATGCATTAAGTCAATTTATTATTTATGATGAATTTATTTATGTATTTATTTTCGCTATCACAAGTAGAAAAAGCCTATAAGTTGCTATGCCAAAAACCTGCCTCTAGATGGCAAACAAACCCCGCAATACACAAAAGAGAGCCAAATTCTTAGAAACCCTGGGAAAGGAAGAGGGCTACTGTCCCATTAACAACTTGGAGCCCTTAAGGCAAGAATGAGGTGGAACATCTGGAACATCTGGGAGGAGACACAAGGGTGCGGAGTAGTGGGGAACCTGCTCTGTGCTCTGAGACTGAAAGCCCAGCCTTGCCTCTCACCGCTGCCTTGACTGTGTCCCCATCTGCTGTGAAGTGAATGGTGTCTTCTAAATTCGTGCTGAGCCCTAATTGCTGAAAAGTGTTAAGACATGCAATGGGGGGATTATGTGCATCTTCCCGACACCAACATGATGCTCAGGAAGGAGACTTCTTGTTTTCTCTTAGGATTCTTTTACTAACCAAGATTTTGCCTCTACTGCATATTTCCCTTTGCTGATTGTCCCTCCCTTTTGACAGAAGATGGCCCAGGGCATTCACTACTAAGTCTCAACCTCTTACCCAAAGCCCTCAGTCTAGTGTTGCTCTTTCCTTCATGCTATTTTTGTTTCTTTCTTTTCTTGTAATCATCTTGGCAATAAAATAATCAGTTTTTTCTTTCTACCTATTAAAGATGTTACCTTAGTTAATTACAGGGGTTTCCTTCAGAATGATAAGTGGTCTTTCAAAATGATGTAAAGAGATCTAAATCCGTGTGCTCCAGAAGTTGAATGAAGCTCTGTCTAGCACGGGTGCCAGTGACTCTCCCAGAGTGCTCCATGCAGCTGGACCCACAGAGTCCCTCTGTGCTGTCATATCACCCACTGCCTTCTGTGAATGAGATATTCTGATTAGAATCCTGGTGGATGCTATTTGAGCCAGTGCCCCCACAACTCCTATGAAAGCCGAGGACCACAGGCCCCTGAAGACAATCACAGGTCTCTAGACTCACAGCTCATGACCGTCCTCTGCAGACACAGCTTCTCCTCGGATGGCTGAGGGTTGTCATTGGCTGTGTCCTTCCTTGTGCATGACAACAGGAGACATAGAAGGTCTGTAAGCAGCCCTGCAAGCCAGGTTCTGAGCAAGCCCTCCTGTGTGGGGCCCTCTTACCTGGACATAGGTGTGTAAACCAAAAATGAAACTCTAAGCTCCCTAACCAACTGAATGAACTCCTCCTCTCAGCCAAGCACACACCAAAATCAACCTGAAATACAATGCAGCCCATGATCGGAACGGATGATTGGATATGCCTTAACTTACCCTCTTCCCTTTAAAATTCAGGCACAACTGACCAGCTTTTAATATGAAGACAGAGACCTTGAGACTGACAAAGAAAACTCTTTATAGCAATAAGTTACCAATGTGACAGATACCACGTCCTAAGAGAAATCAAAGTATTTTCCCCAAGATATTGTTATTTAATGTATTTAAAAATGCCTCTGCAAAGCTGGTTCTTGTGGGAAAAATCTACATTCTGTAGAGACTCCTTTTTAAGTCTCTTTCCTGACCCAGAGAGATTTAACTAAGAGTTTGGCACCTTTTAAGTCTGCTAAGAAACAATTACAATCTATTCTCTCTGAAGCCTGCTACCTGGAGGCTCCATCTGCATGATGCAACCTTGGCTCCAAAACCCTTTTTCTAAACCCAGAAACTCCCTTGTGTTGATTACAGGTCATTAGATCAACTCTTTCAACCACCTATGAAATCTTTGAATCCACCTAGGACCTGGAAGTCCCCAACATCCCCCCTCCTTCGGGCTGTCCTGCCTTTTCATATCAAAGCAATGTACAGCTTACACGTATTGATTGATATCTTATGTCTCCCTAAAACGTGTAAAACCAACCTGTAGCCCGACGACCTTTGACACACGTTCTCAAGACCTCCTGAGGCTGTTTCACTGATATTTCTTTAACTTTGACCAAATAAATTTCTAAACTGATTGAGACTTTTCTCAGATACTTATTTGTTTATAGGTATCACTGGATACACTTAAGGAATTGAAGAGATTTATGACATTGAGAAAAGGAGGAAGCCAGGGTGTGTGGACATTGAGAGAGAGAGAGAGAGAGAGAGAGAGAGAGAGAGAGAGAGAGAGAGAGAGAGAGAGAGAGATTGTGATGTATGTACAGGACTAACACTGAGACCTGGTTATGTAATGGTGTAGTACTGAGTATCATCCCCAAATAGTGAGGTTTCATTCCATGAAGGCTATGCATGTATCTCATTTGGGAAAACAGCTTTTGCAGGTGTAAATTAAGGAGCTTGAAACAGGGAGATGGTCTTAGATTAATCAACTGGGACTTAAATGCAAACTCAAGTGTCCTAAAAAAAACAAGAGGTAGAGAGAGATTTAGCATAGACTGAAGTGGAGAAGGCAGTGTGAACACAGAGACAGAGATTGCAGTGATGTGTCCACATCCCGGGAGAGAGAAGCCACCAGAAGCTGGAAGAGCTAAATCAGACTGCTCCCTAGAGCTTCAGAAGGAGCCAGAACTGATGACTCCAAGATCTTAGCCCAGTGAAACTGATCTGGACTTCTGAACTATGAGAGATTCCATTCCTGTTGTGTTGTTACAGTAGCCCGAGGACACTAACACAAATGGGGCTCCGGGAAAATCCAGACTAAAGGTGTTGTGTTGGTTTGCAATCTCCTTGCTTAACTTTCTGATACTAGACGTAAATAGATTGGTGAAACATTTTGTGATTGAAAAAATGTACATGAAACCTACAGTGTACAGAGAAGCATCTGTTAGTTATAAGATAAATATTGATAATTTTAGTTGAAAATGACATATGACTGTTAATATCTCACATAACATTCTGAGTTACTCAAGAATGCATAAAAGAGGCACTAGATACTCTTCTCATGTATGTGTGTGTGTCTGTCTATACATGTATGTACACTTCATGGTGCATCAGCTGGCGGAACCCTCAGGACACCCCTTCACATCCTCAGTGCCCCATTTCACACATGAGGAAACTGTTCATGACAGCACATGGCTGATTTGCATAAAAGTCACTTGGTCAGCAGTTGTCGAAGCTGAACTTGGAATCTAGGTCTGTCTGACCTTAACTTATGTTCCTTCCACAGAGCCACGTTCATTCCATAGAGGGACCCACCACCTATAAAACCGGAAAAGAGACAAAGCCAGAAGTGCAGGGTGGATTTCTTAACACAAGCTCACTGCGACCTCTAGTCCTCATCACGCTGACACTAAGCTTAAACCCAGACCCTTCTACAGTTTTGTCTACAAAGCACAATTTGCCCAAAGCCTTTACAAACACCAACAGCCTTTCTTTCAGATATGGCAGCAGGGTCACATCTTACACGGCCCTGACCACATTTTGTCTCCTCTGCCATCCCCATCTCTCTGACTCAGTCCTCGCTTGCAGCCATAAAAAAGGATGAGTTCATGTCCTTTGTAGGGACATGGATGAAGCTGGAAACCATCATTCTCAGCAAACTATCGCAAGGACAAAAAACCAATCACTGCATGTTCTCACTCATAGGTGGGAATTGAACAGTGAGAACACGTGGACACAGGAAGGGGAATATCACACACCGGGGACTGTTGTGGGGTGTGGGGAGGGGGGAGGGATAGCATTAGGAGATATACCTAATGTAAATGACGAGTTAATGGGTGCAGCGCACCAACATGGCACATGTATACATATGTAACAAACCTGCATGTTGTGCACATGTAACCTAGAACTTAACAATAATAATAATAATAAAAAGAATGGGTCTTGTACATCCAATTTGCCCTATGAATGTTAAAACAGCAAACCCGCATCCCCTTCCTCTTCTCATGTGCTGTGAGAGATGACCTCCAGGCTCTCAGATACCAAGATTGTACAAGACCTAACCCAGAGAATTACTCAAGACACTTTCTACGTAAGAAGAATTGTGGTACTAGCTCTCCTCATAGAAAAATGTTTTCTGTCTCTTGTTGAAATTGACAGCAAACACAAAAACACAGAACTATTTGGGAGAACAGAGGACAGTGATACACTAGGGAAGTAAAACACACCCCTTCCCCTTGCATTGGTTTCCTGTTGCTGCTGTAACAAATTACCACAACTTTACTACTCCACATAACACAAGTGTATTATCTTACATTTCTGGAGGTCAGAAGTCTCAATGAAGTAAAATCAAGGAGTAATAGGGCTCTATTCATTCTAGGCTTCAAGAGAGAGAATCCAATGTCGAGCATTCCATCTTTCTGATGTTCCCACATTCCTAGCAGCATGGCCCCTTCCTCCATCACTCCAATTTCCCTGTCCATTGTCCCAGGTCCTCTCTGGCTGTTACCTTCCTCCCTCCCTATTGTAAGGACCCTTGTGATTATGATGGTCTCACCCAGATAATTCAGGATACTCTCCTGACCTCAAAATTCTCAACCACGTCTGCCAAGTTATTTTTGACTTGTTCATAAGTAATGATCATAGATTCCAGATATTAGGACAATGATGTCTTTAGTGGGTGTATTATTCATTCCACAAACAACTCTCATCATCCACACAATGGCCTTCCCCTAAGGTAGAATAAAAATATCACAAGGCAGATTTATGAGGCGATCGACCTAGAAAAAACCTGAGACTCTAGGACTGTCTGATGTGTGGATGTTAAATCCTGGGAGATTCTGAGCCTCTGCTCTATGTGGACTCTATGTTGTGTAGCCATTTGTGGAAGGCTTCTGTGATTTTGTGACCTAGAGAAAATGAATCTCTGCTAAAATCAAATCTAAGAAAGATTGGCAAAGGGAATTTAAAGATTTCCTAAATTTTTGGAATTTCCCTAGGCATTAAAACATGAGAAGTGGCAATAATTCAAACCAACGATGCCCTCCAAGAATGAGGATTTTTCCAATGCATTAGGTTGGGTCCCCTCAGTGAGAAGGATGCCAAAGATTCGCATGCAGGCAGTATATTTACAAAGTGCGGGAAACAAGCAAGTGAGCAAGGGAGGGGAGGAGGGAAAGGGAAAGTGAAAAGTGCCTCAGAAGGAGCCACCTCTGAGGATGACGAGAGCTCAAGCCCACATAGAAACACAGGAAAAATGCCTCTGTTATTCCACCTGAGAGGTGAGGGAGCTGGGGGATGTGTACACCTCCCTTGTCATCACTGATTGACAACCGTCCTAGGGGATGCTAATTCCAGGCCATGAGGTCTGCCTCATTTGCAGCCTGAGCTGCCTCCCCAGGTTCAGATAGAGCAGTGAAGGGGAGAAAGGGCCATAGAGAGTCAGCTGAAGTATAATGTCTAGAATCCCCAAGGCATAGTAACAATGACTGCTAAAATTATGCACAAAGAAAAAGTGCATTTGAATCCAGAGATGTATCTCTCTGAATCTGGATATATGGATCCTGGCAGCCTGTTCGGTAGCCATTTCCCAGAAATCCAGTCCTCTGGAAAAGCAGGAGGAGGTTTGTGCATAGGCTGCACTACCTTGGTCTGGCCATGGGTAGTCGTGCATGAGAACTACTCCCTGGAGTATTTCTCAGTCCACTGACACTGATGTAATTGGCTCCACTTCCCCTGCTGTTGAGCCAGGCCGACACGCCCTGGGCAAAGGCATCTGTGTGAAGTATTGAGGTGCAAATCAGTGCTTAAGATATGTTTGGATGCAAAACACTTTTTCATCTACATGGGCAGTGTCTTGGCAGAAGATGGAGATTCTCTCTAAATGCATGTGAGACAGGGTGGCTGGCATCTGGGTCAGGATGATGCCCTGGTGCATGGCAAGAACATGCATTGGGCAGCAGCTGCCCTCGCTAAGGAGAGAGGCTCACTGACCTGGCTTTTCCCCCTCACCTGCTCTCCAGAAAGCCAGACTCTAGGGCAGATGCTCCTGAGACCCCAGGAACAGGCTGGTGGGGAGCGCAGCTCAGAGCATTACTCAGGGGATGTGGCCTTTGTCATCCTACTTTGAAACAATTGACTATTTGAGCCTAGATTGATACAGGGCTTCAAGTTGATTTTAATCCAGGCTCCTATAGTCAGCGAGTGAAACAGAGATTTTAGTTGAAATAATGAGACCTGGTGTTACTAGTCAGCTCTCCATGCTGGAGAACCATAAGAAATTATACCAAAGGCAGGAAAGGGGATAGAATATGGGGATCATCACGCCAAGAATAAGGTGCAGCCCATTTAGCCCCTGGGTCTTAAAGAGACCCATAGCTCTAGATAATGGCAGATCTATGCGTGACACAGTTATCATCTTTGTGCATCTTCAGAGAATTGTTTTTCCTTTTACTCCTAGGGACAATGTCTTAAGTTTGTTAGTAAATTCTATTGAATTTATTAAAGATGCTTCTGATAAATTCTTTTTATATTCATTTCAAACAAGAAGCAATTTCACACTGACATTGTTATTATAGCACTAAATACTTTTACACTCATCAAATTCCTTTGAGACTAACTGAAATTTCTGACAGCCCCACATTCTACAACTTTATTGTAAATTTTCTGCCAAAAATGATGCTTTCCTATACACTCCTAATACAAGTATAAATATATTATTTAATCTAGTCTTAGGTTGATTTAAAATTTTGAAAATTCACTCCAAAAATATGTTCTGTAACCATATGGCCACCAATGAGAAATGCATTCTTTCAAGGTAAATCTGTGCTGCCCTGGTTTGACCTGGGACTCTGGGGATACTGCGCCCCTGTGCTGAGTTACTGAGTTGAGCCAGCCCTGCAGCTGTGCTCAGCCTGCCCCATCCCCTGCTGATTTGCCTGTTCCTAGAGCACAGCCCCCTGCCCTGAAGACTTTTTATAGGCTGGTCACACCCGGAGCAGGAGTCAGCCCCAGTCAGGACACAGCACAGACATGAGGGCCCCCACTCAGCTCCTGGGGCTCCTGGTGCTCTGGCTGCCAGGTAAGGAAGGAGAACACTAGGATTATACTCGGTCAGTGTGCTCAGTACTGTCTGGAACTTCAGGGAAGTCCTCTGATAACATGATTAATTGCAACAATATTTGTTTTTATGTTTCCAACTTCAGGTGCCAGATGTGACATCCAGATGACCCAGTCTCCATCCTCCCTGTCTGCATCTGTAGGAGACAGAGTCACCATCACTTGCCGGGCGAGTCAGGGCATTAGCAATAATTTAAATTGGTATCAGCAGAAACCAGGGAAAACTCCTAAGCTCCTGATCTATGCTGCACCCAGTCTGCAAAGTGGGATTCCCTCTCGGTTCAGTGACAGTGGATCTGGGGCAGATTACACTCTCACCATCCGCAGCCTGCAGCCTGAAGATTTTGCAACTTATTACTGTCAACAGAGTGACAGTACCCCTCCCACAGCGTTACAAGTCATAACATAATCCCCAAGGAAGCAGATGTGTGAGGCTGGGCTGCCCCAATGCTCCTTCTGGTGCCTCTATCTGCTGAGGGAAGTTCTCAAACTCAGTCAGGTTTGCAAAGTCATTGGGAGATTTTCCTAGAGGAGGCCAGGGAGGTTCCTCTGAACCCTAAGCCTCTTTCACCCTCATCCCCAGCAGAAAAGATGTGACAATGCCTGTCCTGACTGAATAAAGAAGAGAGATAAGTCCAACTGAGGAGTCTGTGTTATGGGATAATCGGAATTTGTACAGCAAAAGAGAAGCTATTCTCAGTATTTCAAGGAGAAATTATTCAAGTTGAATAAATTAGAGCCTAAACCACAGTCTTTCCGAAGCCTATGGAATGTTATTCATGAAGCAGGTACTAGACACAGGGGATTCTCAGGTGCTACTTCAGAAGCCAGGGTGCACCTGCCCCTGGTGGTATGTGCTGAACACCGTGTGATGATCCTCAGGCCTGTCTGGGAAGCCCAGGTCTTCCCAGACAGGGATGCTTTGATAAATCCACTGCTAGGTAGGTAATTCTTCTGTAACATTAATAATTCGGTTTTACTTTTGGATCCTAAAGTGGGACTACTTAGAAAATCTGCAAAAATCATGCGAAGAAAATCATGTAAAATCATGATCTTTACTTAGGCACTTACAGGTGAAATGACGAGGTATCTGGAATTGCATTAAAATAGATCAAGGTGAAAAAGACTGACAAAAACATTAACTGTTAAAACTTGGGGCTATATATCAAAGACATTAGTTTCTCTATGAGTATATTTCAAACTTTCCTCAATAAATTTTTTAAAAATTCAATTTAAAATTCAAGCCACAAATAAATGCTTTTTAAAAATTTCTTAGATTATACAAATAGTGCCATAACATCAAGAATAATCCTAAATCATTCCATATACTTCAAAAGATACAAAACCAGGCTGGGTGCGGTGGCTCACGTCTGTAATCCCAACACTTTGGGAGGCCGAGGTGGGCGGATCACCTGAGGTTGTGAGTTTGAAACCAGTCTGACCAACATGGAGAAACCCCGTCTCTACCAAAAATACAAAATTAGCTGGGTGTGGTGGTGCATGCCTGTAATCCCAGCTACTGGGGAGGCTGAGGCAGGAGAATCACTTGAACTCGGGAAGTGGAGGTTGCAGTGAGCCGAGATTGTGCCATTGCACTCCAGCCTGGGTGACAAGAGCAAAACTCCATCTCAAAAAAAAAAAAAAAAAAAAAAAAAAAAAGACACAAAAGCAGGAACTCTTTTCCAGGAGCAATCCCATTTAGTTAAGAAAAAGAAGAAAAAAATATTCCCTAGATTCAGCCAGTTCCTTATCTCTACTGTCCTTCAGAGTCAAATTTCTTTAAAAAATAAGCAACTCTGCCAGGCGTGGTGTCTCACATCTGTAATCCCAACACTTTGGGAGGCCAAGGAGGGCGGATCACAAGGTCAAGGGATCGAGACCATCCTGGCCAAGATGTTGACACCCCATCTCTACTAAAAATACAAAAAATAGCCCAGCGTGGTGGCACACGCCTGTAGTCCCAGCTACTCAGGAGACTGAGGCAGGAGAATGGCTTGAACCCAGGAGGCGGAGGTTGCAGTGAGCCGAGATCACGCCACTGCACTCCAGCCTGGTGACAGAGCAAGACTCTGTCTCAAAGAAAATAATAATAATAATAATAAGCAACTCCATCTCTCCCCACTTCATCCTTCTCAGCCCTCGATCCTCTGTGATCTGGCTCATGTTCCTGCTGCCTTACTGAGGCTGCTTTAGTAAGGGTACTAGTAAGCTTCCAACTGGCAACTCCAAATGACTATTTTCAGTATACAACTTACTTGGAGTCTACTTAGCATCTTCAGTTATTGAACTTCCTCCTTTAACTCACTTCCAAAATACTACTCTCTCCTCCTTCCTTCTCTATTTCTTTGTTGGCTCTTCTTCCTCTGCCTTCTCTTCAAATATTTCTACTTCCTCTCACTCCTTCCAGTTCTCTTTTCTGTTTCCACAATACTTGTTCTATCAACTACTCCTTTCACTTCATTCACAATAATACTGATGATTCCCAAGCATATATCTCTCATCATGCGTCCCCCTCACATATCTGCTCTTTAATTCTTCTTTTTAATTCATTTGATACCTTCTAAAAGTCTCTCACAATTCAGATAGTCCTTCAAGCCAGGAACATGGGAGTCATTCTCAAATTATCTTTCTCACTCACCCCCTGTCCCATCTCCAAATTTTTATATAAGCTTCAGATTTCATGGACTGTACTTAAAAATTTTTTATAGTTGATGTGTCTCTATTTCAGCAGCTACTGTGTTATCATTTCTCATCTTAGACTATTACAATCTTTCTGGCTGTGTTTACAGATCTTTCCAGTCCACCCCCACACTGAGGTCAGGAGATCTTTCTAAAATGTATTTCATACTCTATCTTGCTTAAAACTTTCAAGTGCTTAACAACTAAATGCAGTATATATTTCCAGATTGGATCCTGGACCAGGGGAAAAAAAATGCTATAAAGATCCTTTTTAGAACATCTGAATATAGACTATATCAGATAATAGAATATCAATGTTACATTTCTTTAACTTGGTAATGTACTATAATCACATAAGGAAATGTCCTTGCTCTTAGGAAATATACACAGAGGTAGTTAGGGACAAACTAGCAAATGATTTAGGGGAAAAAATGATACCTACAGAGAGAGCAAACACAATAAAGCAAATATAGCAAAACATTTTCAATTGCTGAATCTGGGTAAAGGGTATACAAGATTCTTGCAACTCCTCTATTAGTTTGAGATCATTTTAGATAAAATATTTTTGGCTGGGCATGGTGACTCACGCCTATAATCACGGCACTTTGAGAGGCTATAGCAGGAGGTCTGCTTGAGCCCAGGAGTTCCAGACCAGCCCTGGCAACAGGGTGAGACCCTGTCTCTCTAAAAAATTAAAAATTTGTCTGTGTGGACTGGAGTATATCTGTATTCCCAGCCACTTGGGAGGCTGAAGTGGGAGGATCACTTGTGCCCAGAAGGTTGGCACCGCAATGAACAATGACTGTGCCACTGCACTACAGCCTGGGCAACAGAGCAAGACCCTGTCTCAAAAAAAAAAAATTAAACCTCCCACATTCCCTGTTACATGTAAGATAAAAGTTTGAACTCCTTGGTTAGGCTCTCTGTGATCTGACTCTTGCCCCCTCTACCATTATCGGTCATCAACTGAGAGGAGGACCACAACCAACATCCTACTCTCCACACACAAAGATTACAAATTTCTGAACACACCAAACTGCTTTGTTCCATGTCAAACATGTTCTCTCTACTTCCTGCACCTTGTCTGTCTGACAAGCACCTTCTTATTTGATGCTATTCAAGCCTCACCTCCTCTTACTCTGCACTCCTTTCTACTTTCCTCTTCCAGATGAAAATAACCACTCCAGGCCATGCATAGTGGCTCACGCCACCCAGCACTTTGGGAGGCTGAGGCAGACGGATCACAAAGTCAAGAGATTGAGACCATCCCAGCCAACATGGTGAAACCCCGTCTCTACTAAAAATACAAAAATTAGCTGGACATGGTGGCGAGTGCCTGTAATCCCAGCTACTCGGGAGGCTGAGGCAGGAGAACTGCTTGAACCCAGGAGGCAGAGGTTGCAGTGAGCCAAGATCGTGCCACTGCACTCCAGCCTGGCAACAGAGCAAAACTCCGTTTAAAAAAAAGAATCTCAAATACTCGGCCAGGTACATTGGCTCACGCCTGTAATCCCAGCACTTTGGGAGGCTGAGGTGGTGGATTACCTGAGGTCAGTAGTTCAAGACCAGTCTGACCAATATGGTGAAACCCTGTCTCTACTAAAAATGCAAAAAAATTAGCCGGGCATGGTGGCATGCGCCTGTAGTCCCAGCAACTCCGGAGGCTGAGACAGGAGAATTGCTTGAGCCCGGGAGGTGGAGGTTGCAGTGAGCCGAGATCACACCACTGCACTCCAGCCTAGGCAACAAAGCAGGACTCCACCTCAAAAAAAAAAAAAAAAAAAAAAAAATCTCACTACTCCCAAATTATGTATTTTTAAAAATGTTTTTTATTTTTTATTTTTTTTATTTTTTTTGAGATGGAGTCTTGCTCTGTCGCCCAGGCTGGAGTGCAGTGGTGTGATCTCGGCTCACTGCAAGCTCCGCCTCCTGGGTTCACACCATTTTCCTGCTTAGCCTCCCAAGTAGCTGGGACTACAGGTGCCCGCCACCATGCCTGGCTAATTTTTTTATATTTTTAGTAGAGACGGGGTTTCACCGTGTTAGCCAGTATGGTCTTGATCTGACCTTGTGATCTGCCCACCTCAGCCTCCCAAAGTGCTGGG
The DNA here is from genome assembly GCF_000001405.40 of Homo sapiens. Classification (NCBI taxonomy): domain Eukaryota; kingdom Metazoa; phylum Chordata; class Mammalia; order Primates; family Hominidae; genus Homo; species Homo sapiens. The sequence goes on along the minus strand of NT_187648.1, from coordinate 123,835 downwards.
TTTACAGGCGTGAGCCACAACGCCCAGCCTAAAAATGTTTTTTTCTTTCCATGTCCCTGATACAGCTTTTCATCAACTTTCCCAAAGTATGAAAAGAAACAGGTATTTTTCACTAAGAGGTCAACCTATTTTCAATCTCTTACACCATTCTACATGTTGATGAACATAAGTTCTAATAAAATTTTATCTGTTTCTCATTACTCATAAATATCATCTATTTATCTAATTGCATCTAAATGCTATTTTATTGCAAATATCCCATTCACCAACTTCAAAAAGAGAAAAACAAAACAAGCATCATTAAAAACAAAGCAAGAAAGTAGCAAAATAGATAATTCCAATATCACCTATAAGTACTCAGTTATCTTAAACAAATGAACTCAGATTGTCGACAAAAAAATCCAAGGCCCATTCATTAAAGCAAATAAATAACTCATATAACATCTAAAAATCTCACTCATGACCTATTTTCCTTTACTTGTGACCCAAATTTAGTTACTGGAGTATCTTAGACACTAGCAAAATAGAAAGGTAAGACAAGCTTCTGGACAGATTGTAACGGCAGACAGCAAAGAAACAAAATACACAAAAAAAGTCTATAGGCTGGGCGCGGTGGCTCACGCCTGTTATCCCAGCACTTTGGGAGGCCAAGATTGGGGGATCACGAGGTCAGGAGATCGAGACCATCCTGGCTAACATGGTGAAACCCCATCTCTACTAAAAATACAAAAAAATTAGCCAGGTGTGGTGGCGGACACCTGTAGTCCCAGCTACTTGGGAGGCTGAGGCAGGAGAATGGCATGAACCTGGGAGGTGGAGCTTGCAGTGAACCGAGATTGCACCACCTCACTCCAGCATGGGCAACAGAGTGAGACTCCGTTTCAAAAAAAAAAAAGTCTATATAGAATCTTAACATAGTCTGCTAGAACAATTTTTTTTCTAAAGAAAATACATCAAATTGAATAATATTAAATGACAGGAAAAGGAGTAAACATTATAGAAACCTCCTTTAAAAATTAAAAACTATTTCAACTTTAAAATGAATGGGTATTAACAGCTCAGGGAGCACATCTGCTTCTTCAAAACAGGCAGAATAGGAAAAAAATGTTGCTAATTTTTGAGAAATCATATAAATCAGTTTTTTGATCATTATTAAACTATTCATAATAAAATTAACATATTACAACCATTCATACAAATGTTTACTACAGACACACCTGAACTCAAGCAGTATTAACATTTCAATTTATTTTAGGAATGATGAAAAAATTATTCCAACATTTAAGAGACCACCATTTTGGCCAGGCCCAGTGGCTCACACCTGTAATCCCAGCACTTTGGGAGGCCGAGGTGGGCAGATCACCTGAGGTCAGGAGTTCGAGACCAGCCTGACCAACATGGAGAAACCCCGTCTCTACTAAAAATACAAAATTAGTTGGGTGTGGTGGTGCATGCCTATAATCCCAGCTACTGAGGAGGCTGAGGCGGGAGAATTGCTTGAACCAGGTGGTGGAGGTTGCGGTGAGCCAAGATCGCACCATTGCACCCCAGCCTGGGCAACGAGAATGAAACTCCATCTCAAAACAAACAAAAAAGAACACCACTTTTCATTTTACTGAATTACCTTTCCTGTTCAAGAGCATACTCCAACATTTTGATCCTCCTCACAAGATCCTTCTTCAAATTTTCTTGGCCCTTCCTTTCTCCCTGTAGAAAGGTAATCTGGGCCTGAGTAGGGGAAAGACAGACAAAATTCAGTTTAGACCAAAAAAAAACCAGTTTTTTTTAACTCAGTAAAGAACCTTTGGAAGTTAGAACAATTAGATGCAAAAATATTTCCTTTACACATTTCTCACAAAGCATGTAGAAATATAAAAATGCACTGACTGCAAGGGGGAAAAAGGATTTAAGTTAAAAAGGGCGGGGGGACATCTAAATGCATTGTACTTCAGGGTGGGGATTTTACAACACATAGTACACATCATTTAAGAGTCTACAATATAAAACAACTAATACTGCCGGGTGCGGTGGCTCACACCTGTAATCCCAGCACTTTGGGAGGCTGAGGCAGGTGGATCACTTGAGGTCAAGAGTTCAAGACCAGCCTGACCAACATGGTGAAACCCTGTCTCTACTAAAAATACAAAAATTAGCCGGGCCTGATGGCACCTATAATCCCAGCTACTCGGGAGGCTGAGGCAGAAGAATTGCTTGAACCCAGGAGGCAGGGGTTGCAGTGAGCCGAGATTGCGCCACTGCACTCCATCCTGGGTAACAGAGTGAGACTCCATATTAAAAAATAAAACAACTAATATTAATACAAACAAATGCAAGGTGTACAGTACAGTTTGCTAAAGCGTTTGTCTTTTTGCCATCAACAAGATCTTTTTATAAAGCAGGAAGGGTTAAAGTAAAATCAGTTCTTATATTCCCCTTGCACAAGCTTCATCATATATTTAAATTTTATGACAGATTCCTTAAGTGACTTTATTTTGGACCTCCCCTACAAAAAATAAATTGCTCCCTTTTCTCAATCCCCACCATTTTTCTCACCCACCTTGACATGTAATCCATAGAAAAAAGAAAGTGAAAGTTGGGAAAAGGAAAATTAGAGACAATGGCCTTCTGCCCATTCCTGCCCCCCACCCCAAGGAATTACTAAAACCCTACATTTGAACATGAAACAAACTGTAAACAACTTTTAAAGTCAGTAAAACCGATGGGCTAGGAAAGAGTAGCTCTCCAGAATATTAAGAGAACATTTACAACTGAAATACTATCTTTCACATAAGAAATTGAAACTATGTCACAAACACTAACTTGTTAAAGTGACTCATAATACCTCTTAAAAGTCACAAGGGCCTCAAAACTAGCTATAAATTTCACTATTCTCACATATACCACCACCCCCGTCTTTTATACTGACCCACTAAGACAGGTAACAATGTTATTTATGTATCTACAGTGCTTTCCATTAAGTGAGCAAGAACTTTCCATTTAAGGATGACCTTGCCACATCCCTAAGGAATTGTGAGGATTGTGCAACTCAGGTTTAGCAAGTGAGCCATTAAACTTAATTCTCATTCAAACTTAGTTTGAATGACCTTTGTTTCTATTCTGTACCACAAGAAACATAAAATCCAACTTATCTAGTCTCTTATAACTTTCAAAATATAGGTAGTGTTGAGCTTTTCTTTTCATTTCAATATGCTCTTAAATTTTACATTACAATTAAAGGAAGGATTACATTTATCTTACTGAAATAAAAGTGGTCTGAAAATCCCAATTCAATTGTTTTCAGAGGAAAAGGCATCAAATATCCACAAGACTCTTTTGAAATTATATATTCTGCAGTGGGATAATTATGTTACCTAACCAGAATAGTAATGACACATGCATTTAAAGCTGATAAAAATGAAAGTCTTGTCAAAAGGAAGTGACAGCCCAACTTGTCAGGCCAAACATGCTTTGGCATAGAACTTTATATGCTCTTTAAAATGATTTTAATAAAAATAATAAGCTAATCAATGCAATCAAACTTTGAAGGTAATAACAATATCAATTATCAATTTTGTCCTCTCGATACTCCTTGGCTAGTTTTGCATTTCTGCTAACATCATTGGTCCTGGATGATTCTGAAACTTCAGCCTACAATACCGTAAAGTCTTTACTGTATATGTTCAACTTCAAGCATAAGAGAAGTTACAATTAAAAGTATAATCAGAGGCTGGGCACAGTGGCTCAGTCCTGTAATTACAGCACTTTGGGAGGCCGAGGTGGGAGGATAACTTGAGCTCAGGAGTTTGAGCCTAGCCTGTGCAACATAGCGAGACCACTTCCCTACAAATAATTTAAAAAATCAGCCAGGCATGGTGGCATGTGTCTGTGGTCCCAGCTACTTGGGAGGCTGAGACAGGAGAATCACCTCAGCCCAGGAGGCCAAGGCTGCAGTGAGCAGTGATCACACCACCACACTCTAACATGGGTGACAGAGTGAGACCTTGTCTCAAAAAAAAAAAAAAAAAAAAAAAAAAAGGGGGTGGGGGGTGGGTGGCGGGGTGGTAATCAGGGCCAGGCATGGTAGCTAATGCCTGTAGTCCCAGAACTTTGGGAGACTGAGGTGAGAGGATTGCTTGAGGCTGGAGTTTGAGACCATCCTGGCCAACATGCCAAGACGGCTCATAAAAATATTAAAAATATAAAAAATAAAGTACAATCAGATTTCTCCTTTTCCATCAGATGGATAAAGTTCAGTAACTTAATAATATGGTAGAAAACAGACATTTATATGTTAGCTGTGGTGATATAAACCAGTTTCACTTTATAGAGGACAACTGGTAATATCTGTCAAGTTTATAAATGCATATACCCTTTAACTCAGCAATTTTAGAATGTTATCCTTCAAATATATATTTGTACATACATGAAATTATATAATACATTACTGATAAAACACAGACAAGAATATGTATACAACCCAAATGACCACCTAAAGGAGACTGGTTAAATAAATGAGTATAATTGAAAGAAAATTAGGACCTGAACTAAGACCTTTGAGAAAAGAGTAAAAGACTATGAGAATAATGTCAATCTTTTACCTTTTTTTCTCTAGAAAACTAAGACATTAGAAACAAAAAGTCTTAAAACACATTCCTACATAAAAAAAAGAATTCCTTCTGTAAAACGACCTCAGTCGAAAACATAATAATTGGTATAAATTCTTACTCTTTTAAAATAAAGATTAAATTCCAGCTAAAAATTCTCCAGATATGGCAGTATATTGCTCTTTGAATTGAACTGAGGAAGGGCGAGGGTGAGAGACATAAAAGATGAAAACAGTGAAAGGAAGAAATAAAGGGAAGGGAAAAAGTAAAAAGAAAAAGAGGAAAATAGGTCGGACACAGGGGCTCACACCTGTAATCCCAGAACTTTGGGAGGCTGAGGCGGGGGGATCACCTGAGGTCAGGAGTTCGAGACCAGCCTGGCCAACACAGTGAAACCCTGTCTCCACTAAACATACAAAAATCAGCCAGGCACTGTATTCACAGCTACTCGGAAGGCTGAGACAGAAGAATTACTCAAACCCGGGAGACGGAGGTTGCAGTGTGCAGAGATCGCACCACTGCACTCCAGCCTGGGCGACACGGTGAGATTCCATCTTTAAAAAAAAAAAAAAAAAGGCAGGGCGTGGTGGCTCACCCCTGTAATCCTAGCACTTTGGGAGGCCGAGGCGGGTGGATCACGAGGTCAGGAGTTCAAGACCAGCCTGGCCAAGATGGTGAAACCCCATCTCTACTAAAAATACAAAAAAAAATTAGCCGGTCGTGGTGGCAGGTGCCTGTAATCCCAGCTACTTGAGAGGCTGAGGCAGAGAACTGCTTGAACCCAGGAGGTGGAGGTTGCAGTGAGCCGAGACCACACCACTGCACTCCAGCCTGGGCAACAGAGTGAGACTCCGTCTCAAAAAGAAAAACAAATAAGTGTTATGAATAAATATGTTTAAAAACTTACAAATCATCAACTGCCATTTATCAGTACAACTAAACTTAATGATAACAGGATATATTTCTGGAGAAGAAAACTTTGGAATTATTTTCAAGGAAAATGAATGTTGAACTTCCATGATACTTTATGTGTATTTTTCACAGTATAGAAAATTAGATATTCACTTCCTAACCATCATAAACAAAAAAGATAAAAATAATAGAAGGAAGATATTTTACTATTTAAGTCTGCATGACAGAAAGAAAATTTTTTTTTTATTTAATTTTTTATTTTATATATTTATTTTTTTTGAGATGGAGTCTCACTCTGTTGCCCAGGCTGGAGTGCAGTGGCACCATCTCAGCTCACTGCAAGCTCCGCTTCCCGGGTTCACGCCATTCTCTTGCCTCAGCCTCCTGAGTAGCTGGGACTACAGGCGCCCGCCACTGCACCCAGCTAATTTTTTGTATTTTTAGTAGAGACGGGGTTTTACCGTGGTCTCAATCTCCTGACCTCGTGATCCGCCCGCCCCGGCCTCCCAAAATGCTGGGATTACAGGCGTGAGCCACCGTGCCCAGCTGAAAATTTATTTTTATATTATTTTCAATTCTAATTTGTCAAAAGGATATATGTAAATAGGAATATAAATCTTCTATATTTAAACAGGTTTATCTGCATACGTAATATCTAATAAACAATTAAAATATTTAAAATGTACCACTTAATTTATTAAAGCCCCACCACCCTTTTTTTTTTCTTTTGAGACGGATTCTCACTCTGTCGCCCAGGCTGTAGTACAGTGGTGCGATTTCGGCTCACTGCAACTTCAGCCTCCCGGGGTCGAAGTAATTCTCCTACCTCAGCCTCCTGAGTAGCTGGGATTACAGGTGCGCACCACTATGCCCAGCTAATTTTTGTATTTTTAGTAGAGACAGGGTTTTACCACTTGGTCAGGCTGTTCTCAAACTCCTGACCTCGTGATCCACCCACCTCGGTCTCCCTGAGCCCTGGGATTACAGGTGCGAGCCACCGCGCCCAGCCTTATTGAAGCCATTTTAAACTACTGTGCATTCTGAAATTTAAAAGGGCTAGGATTCAAAATTGAAATCACTGAGAAGTATATTCAAAATGAAAAATACACAAAATTCTTGGGTTGGACACTTTTCAGTAGCTTTTCAGTTACTTGGTATGGAATATAAAAAGCATTCACTTTTACAAAAATCTAAAATAAAATATTATAAAACTTGATTAATTTAAGGTTCTCATCTTTTGATTTGAACACAAACTTCAAAGTAAAAGAGGAAATATATAAGTAAAAGTCAATTATACGGTTACAGTGTACAGTGAAGTTTCAATAATCTGCTTTATGTCTTAATGCCTTCTATAAACTGTATCTATTCCCTCTGAAAAGCTTTGGATTATATTATCCTCTTAAATCCAGGCTGCTAGTTTTCTCTGGCACATAATCACTGCCTCTAGCCCTCTCTCTTAAAGACAGTGTCTTTATCAGGCTAGGCACAGTGGTTCATGCCTGTAATCCCAGCACTTTGGGAGACCGAGACAGGTGGATCACCTGAGGTCAGGAGTTTGAGACCAGCCTGACCAGTATGATGAAACCCCATCTCTACTAAAAATACAAAAATTAGCCAGACATGGTGGCGTGTGCCTGTAGTCCCAGCTACTCAGGAGGCTGAGACAGGAGAATTGCTTGAACCTGGGAGGTGGAAGTTGCAGTAAACCAAGATCACGCCACTGCACTCCAGACTGGGCGACAGAGCAAGACTCCATCTCAATTAAAAAAAAAAAGCATCATTATCATTTGGTGACATCAAACTTTACCATCAGAATCACCCAGATGACTTGTTAAAACACAATTTTTTAGGTTCTACCCTCAGAGTTGCTCATTCAGTAGGTCTGGAGTGGGGCCCAAGAATTTGCATTTCTAGTAAGTACCCAGGTGATAATGCTGCTGATCTGGGACCACCCTTGGAGAACCACTGACTTAAACCATTTGTAACACAGTTAGAAGGCCAAAAACAAAAAACAAAGCAAAGCAAAACAAAACAAAACAAAAAGCAGGAAATAGTCTGTTAAGGAGCAAGGAAAAGAACAGTCCCAGAGGCCGGGCGCAGTGGCTCACGCCTGTAATCCTAGCACTTTGGGAGGCCGAGATGGGCGCATCACTTGAGGTCAGGAGTTCTTAACCAGCCTGGCCAACATGGTAAAACCCCCATCTCTACTAAAAATATAAAAAAATTAGCCAGGTGTGGTCGCAAGCACCTGTAATCCCAGCTACTCAGGAGGCTCAGGCAGGAGAACTGCTTGAACCTGAGGTAGAGGTTGTGGTGAGTCGAAATCATGCCACTGCATTCCAGCCTGAATGACAGAGCAAAACTGTCTCAAAAAAAAAAAAAAAAGAAGAAGAAGCAAAGAATAGTCCCAGAACCCTCTTTTTTTCCCCAAAGTGTTGGGATTACAGGTGTGAACTACCGCGTCCAGCCCCAGAACCCTACCCTTTTTACTCCACAGAAGTATGGAGTCTTATACAGGCCTTCAAGCTGACAGATGAGTACATACTAGCTTTTTAATTCTCTTCCAAATTCCTTATTTATGACTATACTTTTGGCAGTCTCCTGATAAAATGAAATCTACCAATGTATTTCAGTTCAATCACGTGTTTGGGAAATACCTACTTCCCATCAGGTCTAAACTGCTGTAAAGGAGAATATAGGAAAAACAAATAAAACCAAGTTTCTACCCACAATGTACTTCCAATCTAGTTAGGGTAAAAAAGCAGCACACATATGTTCACAAAAACAGCTAAGAAAAGATAGTGCAGTACTAATAAATGAGGATTCAAGTGATAAAATCAAATATTTGTATTTCTTCATTTAACAATATTAGCTAAACACCTACTTTGTGCCTGGCACAGTTATTGGTACTGGGACTAAAGTAGTGACAAAACAAAACAGAGCTAACAATCCAGTGAATGAAACATATGTTGCCTAAGACGTATGTGTACCAGTAGCATACGTTATATTTACTTAGAACCAGAAACACAGTTGCAGGCAAAAGCAGTGAATATAAAAATAAACACAAAAAGCAACCGGATGCCTATTTAACTCTAGAGTCAAGTAGAGAACTGATGTTCAACTTAAAAATTGCTTGCTTGCTTATTCATTTATTTGTTTATTTCTTTGAGACAGGGTCTCACTCTGTTGCCCAGGCTGGAGTGCAATCATAGCTCACCGCAGCCTCGAACTCCTGAACTCAGGCAATCCACCTGCCTCAGCCTCCCAAAGTGCTGGAATTACAGGCTTGAGCCACCACGCCGGGCCTATGTGTTTTTAAGGAGGCCGGCCTGAGTGTGGTTTTCCTTGTTGAAATGTGTCTCTAAGCAGGTTCCTGGCTCCTGGACTTTCTGGGGCAGGGTTTCCACCCTGTCCCTGGGCAGCCCAGGGGCTGACCCGGAAACCGTGAATTCAGCATGCTCAGCAAAGCCTGCAAAGCCATCCTCTTCTGGACAAAGTTCAGACTTCAATTCCTCTGTTCTCAGATGTCAGGCATAGAGCAGAGCCTTGTTAACCACGGTCACACTGTTTCATACTGAATTGTTACAAATTAGTACTTATTCATCCTGCGTAACTGCAACTTTGTATTTTTAACCAATACCTCTTCATTTCCTCCTGCTGATGATCAGGGTATATCCATAATCATCACATTGGCCTGGTGCGGTGGCTCACACGTGTAATCCCAGAACTTTGGGAGGCCGAGGCGGGCGGATCACGAGGTCAGGATACGAGACCATCCTGGCTAAAACGGTGAAATCCTGTCTCCACTAAAAATACAAAAAATTAGGTGGACATGGTGGTGGGTGCCTGTAGTCCGAGCTACTGGGGAGGCTGAGGCAGGAGAATGGTGTGAACCCGGGAGGTGGAGGTTGCAGTGAGTCGAGATCGCACCACTGCACTCCAGCCTGGGCAACAGAGCGACAGAGCGAGACTCTGTCTCAAAAAAAAAAAAAAAAAAGTCTACCAAGGAGTTTTGCTTCACCCATGAAAGGAAGAAAACGGTCCAGGAAAAACGGCCATCGGGATGTAACAAAAAATTGTCAATGATCACACCCTATAGAGGTGGCAGATTTGATACAACAGCCAGTGAAATTTTTGACGACAAATATTGCAGACTGCAAGAGACGCTTCTTGTTCGTGGAAATAGAAATAAAGCATGGTGTCTGCGCCCGGCTTTCCGCTGTAAGCTGAAGTACTTCACGGCAGCAGGAATTGGGCAACCCACCGTTTACACTCCACCCTTTGAAACTGGGCTGAATGGGGTGGGGGCCCGCCTTTGGGGAGAAAAGCAAATTTTATTTAAGCCCCTGAAAGAGGAGAGGGTTGGCCAGGCTCGGTGGCTCACGCCTGTAATCCCAGCACTTTGGGAGGCTGAGGTGGGTGGATCACTTGAGGTCAGGAGTTCGAGACCAGCCTGGCCAGCACGATGAAACCCAGTCTCTACTGAAAATACAAAATGAACCAGGCGTGGTGGCACATGCCTGTAATCCCAGCTACTGGGGAGGCTGAGGCAGGAGAACCGCTTGAACCCGGGAGGCGGAGTTTGCAGTGAGCCAAGATCATTCCATTGCACTCCAGCCTGGGTGACAAGAGCGAAACTCTGTCTCAAAAAAAAAAAAAAAAAAAAATGCGTATTCCCCAGCCACCGGAAAATGAGATTTCTGAGCAGCTGGATCTGATAATTACCATGAGGTGTCATTACATGATATACACGTGCTTGGAAACAGTATATTATATGTCATAAATGTGTACAATCATTATGGAGTTTTTTTCTTGAGACAGGGTCTTGCTCTGTTGCCTAAGCTGGAGTGTGCAGTGATGCAATCATGGCTCAGTGCAGCCTTAACCTCCTGGACTCAAACCATCCTTCCACCTCAGCCTCCCCAGTAGCTGGAAATACAGGTCTGCACCAGTAGGTCCAGCTAACTTTTGTACTTTTTTTTTTAAGAGATGGGATCTTGCTATGTTGCCCAGACTGGTCTTGAACTTCTGGCCTTGTGATTCTCCCACCTCAGCCTCCCAAAGCGCTGGGATTACAAGCGTGAGCCACTGCGCCTGATCCGAACGTTGACTCTTAAAAATAAAATAAAACTTTAGAAAAGAAGAAAATCTAATGGTGGTTTTTGTCTTTTCATTGGCTCTGTGTTACTTCGTAGCTGCAATTTTTCTTTCCTTCATTAAGTCAGCTCCAAATTTGCAAACTCAAGTGAAAGGTGAGTGAGTTTTTTGTGTATCTTCTTGGCATGGGGTGGTGAGTGTGTGTACGTGTGTGTGTGTGTGTGTGTGTGTGTGTGTGTGTATTTGTATGTCCAGGGTTCCTCAACATCCCTGAAGACACTTGGGGCTCCTTAATATCCATATAATTTCTATTTTGACCAGAAAGAGGAAAAGTCAACATTTTGGAAACTCCAAACTCCACCAGGGGCTTGGCTGAAACAGGTGTGTGTCGTTTCTCCAACCAGCCAGCTCACCTGCAAATCTCAGAACTTATGTTAATGAGAGTTGCCTGCCCACAGCTCTTCTACGAATAATGTTTTTGTATGTAAAGGAGAAGCAAAAACATTTTTTTGACCTCTTGGAGCACGAAAATCAATAAGAAGTTGATAAAGCAAAGTCTGTGCCTGCTGAAAATAAAACAAGTGTGGTTTGTTTACCCACTGAAGCCTTCACGTTGTCAGGCCTGCGTCGAGATGATTTATAGACCAACACCCCATGAAATCATTTAAAGCAGATTAGATTCCCAGGACAATCCTCTCTAATATGACAAGCTGATAGAGGCTGACAGGTAACTAGGTTGTTCAGGATGGCAAGCCAGTCCCAGAAATTCTGATTAAATTAAAATATTAATGGTACCGCCGGGAGAGGAAGATTGAGTTGAGGTGGGCAAATTCTGTATGAGGACCGAGGAGCAAACACCACGTCGCAGTCGCTGTGCTGGAAGCAGAAGCCTGGGGGTGCCAGGGGGAGTTACCTTTGCTAAACCCGAAAGCAGGGCCTGCATTGCAATGAACTGTGCGGTGCTGGAGACAGGGTGGGGACAACACACCTGCCAGGCTCAGAAGGGAACACGGAGATTCCCTAATCACCTCCTCTCTCCTGCAGCTGCAAAGGTGATGGCCGGAGACCCTCATCTCTGCAGCTCTTAATTCCCCAGTAACCTCTCCCATGGCCTCTGCAAATGCTGGTTTGCAGGGCACTTTAACCCAATCTGAAATTGAGACTCCAGCACCATGACTGTGTACAGATTCTCTAGGAAACTGTCTTGTGCCGGCTGGATGAAAGCTTATTGCTGTGTGTGTGTAGTGTGTGTGTGTGGTTTTGTTTTTTCCTTACAGAGAAAAATGCAAAGAATCTTGCCCCGGCCACAGGAAAAGGAGATTCCTGAGCAGTGTACATTTGCTCCTCTTTCTTTCTTTATCTTTCTTTCTTCTTTCTTCCTTTCTTTCCCTGTCTCTCCTTCCTTCTTTCTTCCTTTCTTTCTCTCTCTTCTTCCTTCCTTCTTTTTTCTCTTTCTTTCTTCTTTCTCTCTCTCCTTCCTTCCTTCTTCCTTTCTTTCTCTCCTTCCTTCCTTACATTCTTCTTTCTTTCTCTTCTTCTTTCTTTCTTTCTCTCTTTCTTTCCTTCCTTCCTTCCTTCCTTCCTTCCTTTCCTTTCTTTCTCTCTCTCTCCCTCTCTTTCTCTCCCAATCTCACTCTTTCTCTCTCCCCTTCCTTCCTTCCTCCTTCTTTCCTTCCTTCCTTCCTCATCACCTTGCTTCCTGCCTTCTTTCCTTCCTTCCTTCCTTCCTTCCTTCCTTTCCTTTCTTTCTCTCTCTCTCCCTCTCTTTCTCTCCCAATCTCCCTCTTTCTCTCTCCCCTTCCTTCCTTCCTCCTTCTTTCCTTCCTTCCTTCCTTCCTTCCTTCCTTCCTTCCTTCCTTCCTTCCTTCCTTTTCTCTCTCTCTCTTTCCAGCTGGCTTGGCTGGATTGGCTGGCTTGGCTGGCTGGGTGGCTTGGCTGGCTGGCTTGGTTGGCTTGGATGGCTGGCTGGCTTGGCTGGCTTGGCTGGCTAGCTGGCTTGGTTGGCTGGCTGGGCTGGCTTGGCTGGCTGGGCTGGCTGGCTGGCTGGCTTGGATGGCTTGGCTGGCTGGCTGGGCTGGCTTGGCTGGCTTGGCTGGCTGGCTGAATTTGCTGGCTTGCCTGGCTTGGCTGACTGGCTTGGCTGGCTCAGTTGGCTTGGCTGGCTTGGCTGGCTTGGCTGGCTGGCTGGCTTGGCTGGCTGGCTGGCTTGGCTGGCTTGGCTGGCTGGCTTGGCTGGCTTGGCTGGCTGGCTGACTTGGCTGGCTTGTGTGGCTGGCTGGGCTGGCTGCGGTGGCTGGGTTGGCTGGCTGGCTGGGCTGGCTGGGCTGGCTGGGCTGGCTGGCTGGCTTGGCTGGCTGGGCTGGCTGGCTGGCTTGAATGGCTTGGCTGGCTTGGCTCGCATGGCTGGCTGGCTGGCTTGGCAGGCTGGCTGGTTTAGCTGTCTTGGGTGGCTGGGTGGCTGGCTGGCTTGGCTGGCTTGGCTGGATGGGCTGGCTGGCTGGCCTGGCTGGCTGGCTGGCTTGGCTGGCTTGGCAGGCTGGCTGGTTTAGCTGGCTTGGTTGGCTGGCTGGCTTGGCTGGCTTGACTGGCTGGATGGCTTGGCTGGCTTGGCTGGCTGGCTGAGTTGGCTGTCTTGGCTGGCTTGGGTGTCTTGGCTGGCTGGCTGGCTTCATTGGCTTGGATGGCTGGCTGGCTTGGATGGCTGCCTGGCTTGGCTAGCTTGGCTGGCTGACTGGCTTGGCTGCCTTGGCTGGCTTGGCTGGCTTGGCAGGCTTGGCTGGCTTGGCTGGTTGGCTTGGATGGCTTGGCTAGCTGGCTTGGCTAGCTGGCTTGGCTGGCTTGGCTTGCTGGCTGTCTTGGCTGGCTTGGCAGGCTGACTTGGCTGGCTTTGCTGGCTGGCTGGCTTTGCAGGCTTGGCTGGCTGGCTGGCTTGGCAGGCTTGGCTGGCTTGGCCGGCTTGGCTGGCTCCTGGCTTGGCTGGCTTGGCTGGCTTGCTTGGCTGGCTTGGCTGGCTGGGTGGCTTGGCTGGCTTGGCTGGATGGCTGGCTGGGTGACTTGGGTGGCTTGGCTGGCTAGGTGGCTTGGTTGGTTTGGCTGGCTGGCTTGGCTGGCTGGCTTGCTGGCTTGCTTGGCTGGCTTGGCTGGCTGGCTGGCTTGGCTGTCTCGGCTGGCTGGCTGGCTTGGCTGGCTTGGCTGGCTTGGCTGGCTGACTGGCTTGACTGGCTTGACTGGCTTGGCTGGCTTGGCTGGCTTGGCTGGCTGACTGGCTTGGCTGGCTTGGCTGGCTTGGCTGGCTGGCTGTCTTGGCTGTCTTGGCTGGCTGGCTGGCATGGCTGGCTTGGCTGGCTTGGCTGGCTGGCTGACTTGGCTGGCTTGTGTGGCTGGCTGGGCTGGCTGCGGTGGCTGGGTTGGCTGGCTGGCTGGGCTGGCTGGGCTGGCTGGCTGGCTTGGCTGGCTGGGCTGGCTGGCTGGCTGGCTTGGCTGGCTTGGCTTGCTGGCTGGCTTGGCTGGCTTGGCTGGCTGGCTGGCTGCCTGGCTTGGCTGTCTGGGCTGGCTGGGTGGCTTGGCTGGCTTGGCTGGCTCCTGGCTTGGCTGGCTTGGCTGCCTTGCTTGGCTGGCTTGGCTGGCTGGCTGGCTTGGCCGGCTTGGCTGGCTTGTTGGCTTGGCTGGCTTGGCCGGATGGCTGGCTTGGCTGGCTTCGCTGGCTTGGCTGGCTGGCTGGCTCTGCTGGCCGGCTTGGATGGCTTGGCTGGCTTGGCTGGCTTGGCTGGCTGCCTGGCTTTGCTGGCTTGGCTGGCTGGTTGGTTTGGCTGCCTTGGCTGGCTGACTGGCATGGCTGGCATGGCTGGCTGGCTGGCTTGGCCGGCTTGGCTGACTTGGCTGGTTGGGTGGCTTGGCTGGCTTGGCTGGGTGTCTTGGCTGGTTGGCTGGCTGGCTGTCTTGGCTCGTTGGCTGGCTGTCTTGGCTGGTTGGCTGGCTTGGCTGGCTTGTCTGGCTGGCTGTCTTGGCTGGCTTGGCTGGCTTTGCTGGCCTGGTGGTTTGGCTGGCTTCGCTGGCCAGGTGGCTTGGCTGGCTTGGCTGGCCGGGTGGCTTGGCCGCCGTGGCTGGCCGGCCGTCTTCGCTGGCTGGCTGGCTTGGCTGGCTTGGTGGGCTGGCTGGCTTGGCTGGCTTGGCTGGCTTGGCTGGCCGGCTGGGTTGGCTGGCTGGCTGGCTGGGTGGTTTGGCTGGCTGGCTGGCTGGCTTGGCTGGCTTGGCTGGCTTGGCTGGCTTCACTGGCTGCCTGGCTTGGCTGGCTGGCTGGCTTGCCTGGCTTGGCTGGCTTGGCTGGCTGGCTGGCTTTACTGGCTTGGCTGGCTGGGTGGCTGGCTAGCTTGACTGGCTCGGCTGGCTTGGGTGGCTGGCTAGCTTGACTGGCTCGGCTGGCTTGGCTGGCTGGCTGGCTTTGCTGGCTGGCTGGCTGGCTTGATTGGCTGGCTTGCCTGGCTGGATGGCTCCCTGACTTGGCTGGCTTTGCTGGCTGTCTGGCTCGGCTGGCTGGCTGGCTGGCTGGTTAGATGGCTTGACTGGCTGGCTTGCTGGCTTGGCTGGCTGGCTGGCTTGGACGGCTTGGCTGGCTGGCTGGCTTGGCTGGCTTAGCTGGCTGGCTGTCTTGGGTGGCTTGGCTAGCTGGCAGTCTGGCTAGCTGGCTTGGCTGGCTGGCTTGGCTGGCTTGGCTTGCTGGCTGTCTTGGCTGGCTTGGCAGGCTGACTTGGCTGGCTTTGCTGGCGGGCTGGCTTTGCAGGCTTCGCTGGCTGGCTGGCTTGGCAGGCTTGGCAGGCTTGGCTGGCTTGGCCGGCTTGGCTGGCTCCTGGCTTGGCTGGCTTGGCTGGCTTGCTTGGCTGGCTTGGCTGGCTGGGTGGCTTGGCTGGCTTGGCTGGATGGCTGGCTGGGTGACTTGGGTGGCTTGGCTGGCTAGGTGGCTTGGTTGGTTTGGCTGGCTGGCTTGGCTGGCTGGCTTGCTGGCTTGCTTGGCTGGCTTGGCTGGCTGGCTGGCTTGGCTGTCTCGGCTGGCTGGCTGGCTTGGCTGGCTTGGCTGGCTTGGCTGGCTGACTGGCTTGACTGGCTTGACTGGCTTGGCTGGCTTGGCTGGCTTGGCTGGCTGACTGGCTTGGCTGGCTTGGCTGGCTTGGCTGGCTGGCTGTCTTGGCTGTCTTGGCTGGCTGGCTGGCATGGCTGGCTTGGCTGGCTTGGCTGGCTGGCTGACTTGGCTGGCTTGTGTGGCTGGCTGGGCTGGCTGCGGTGGCTGGGTTGGCTGGCTGGCTGGGCTGGCTGGGCTGGCTGGCTGGCTTGGCTGGCTGGGCTGGCTGGCTGGCTTGATTGGCTTGGCTGGCTTGGCTGGCCTGGCTGGCTGGCTGGCTTGGCTGGCTTGACAGGCTGGCTGGTTTAGCTGTCTTGGGTGGCTGGGTGGCTGGCTGGCTTGGCTGGCTGGGCTGGCTGGCTGGCCTGGCTGGCTGGCTGGCTGGCTTGGCTGGCTTGGCAGGCTGGCTGGTTTAGCTGGCTTGGTTGGCTGGCTGGCTTGGCTGGCTTGACTGTCTGGCTGGCTTGGCTGGCTTGGCTAGCTGGCTGAGTTGGCTGGCTTGGCTGGCTTGGGTGTCTTGGCTGGCTGGCTGGCTTCATTGGCTTGGATGGCTGGCTGGCTTGGATGGCTGCCTGGCTTGGCTAGCTTGGCTGGCTGACTGGCTTGGCTGCCTTGGCTGGCTTGGCTGGCTTGGCTGGCTGGCTTGGCTGGCTTGGCTAGCTGGCTTGGCTAGCTGGCTTGGCTGGCTTGGCTTGCTGGCTGTCTTGGCTGGCTTGGCAGGCTGACTTGGCTGGCTTTGCTGGCGGGCTGGCTTTGCAGGCTTGGCTGGCTGGCTGGCTTGGCAGGCTTGGCTGGCTTGGCTGGCTTGGCTGGCTCCTGGCTTGGCTGGCTTGGCTGGCTTGCTTGGCTGGCTGGTTTAGCTGTCTTGGGTGGCTGGGTGGCTGGCTGGCTTGGCAGGCTTGACTGGCTGGCTGGCTTGGCTGGCTTGGCTGGCTGGCTGAGTTGGCTGGCTTGGCTGGCTTGGGTGTCTTGGCTGGCTGGCTGGCTTCATTGGCTTGGATGGCTGGCTGGCTTGGATGGCTGCCTGGCTTGGCTAGCTTGGCTGGCTGACTGGCTTGGCTGCCTTGGCTGGCTTGGCTAGCTGGCTTGGCTAGCTGGCTTGGCTGGCTTGGCTTGCTCTCTGTCTTGGCTGGCTTGGCAGGCTGACTTGGCTGGCTTTGCTGGCTGGCTGGCTTTGCAGGCTTGGCTGGCTGGCTGGCTTGTCAGGCTTGGCTGGCTTGGCTGGCTTGGCTGGTTCCTGGCTTGGCTGGCTTGGCTGGCTTGCTTGGCTGGCTTGGCTGGCTGGGTGGCTTGGCTGGTTCGGCTGGCTGGCTGGCTGGGTGTCTTGGGTGGCTTGGCTGGCTGGGTGGCTTGGCTGGTTTGGCTGGCTGGCTTGGCTGGTTGGCTTGCTGGCTTGCTTGGCTGGCTTGGCCAGCTGACTGGCTTGACTGGCTTGACTGGCTTGGCTGGCTTGGCTGGCTTGGCTGGCTGACTGGCTTGGCTGGCTTGGCTGGCTTGGCTGGCTGGCTGTCTTGGCTGTCTTGGCTGGCTGGCTGGCATGGCTGCCTTGGCTGGCTTGGCTGGCTGGCAGATTTGGCTGGCTTGTGTGGCTGGCTGGGCTGGCTGTGGTGGCTGGGTTGGCTGGCTGGCTGGGCTGGCTGGGCTGGCTGGCTGGCTTGGCTGGCTGGGCTGGCTGGCTGGCTTGATTGGCTTGGCTGGCTTGGCTGGCCTGGCTGGCAGGCTGGCTTGGCTGGCTTGGCAGGCTGGCTGGTTTAGCTGTCTTGGGTGGCTGGGTGGCTGGCTGGCTTGGCTGGCTGGGCTGGCTGGCTGGCCTGGCTGGCTGGCTGGCTTGGCTGGCTTGGCAGGCTGGCTGGTTTAGCTGGCTTGGTTGGCTGGCTGGCTTGGCTGGCTTGACTGTCTGGCTGGCTTGGCTGGCTTGGCTAGCTGGCTGAGTTGGCTGGCTTGGCTGGCTTGGGTGTCTTGGCTGGCTGGCTGGCTTCATTGGCTTGGATGGCTGGCTGGCTTGGATGGCTGCCTGGCTTGGCTAGCTTGGCTGGCTGACTGGCTTGGCTGCCTTGGCTGGCTTGGCTGGCTTGGCTGGCTGGCTTGGCTGGCTTGGCTAGCTGGCTTGGCTAGCTGGCTTGGCTTGCTGGCTTGGCCGGCTTGGCTTCCTGGCTGTCTTGGCTGGCTTGGCAGGCTGACTTGGCTGGCTTTGCTGGCTGGCTGGCTTTGCAGGCTTGGCTGGCTGGCTGGCTGGCTTTCTTGGCTGGCTTGGCTGGCTGGCTGGCTTGGCTGTCTGGGCTGGCTGGCTGGCTTGGCTGGCTTGGCTGGCTGGCTGGCTGGCTGGCTGGCTGCCTTGGCTGGGTGGCTTGGCTAGCTGGCTGGCTGGGCTGGTTGGCTGGCTTGGCTGGCATGCCTGGCTTTGCTTGCTGGCTGGCTTGGCTGGCTTGGCTGGCTGGCTTGGATGGCCGGGTGCCTTGTCTGGCTTGGCTGGCTGGCTGGCTTAGCTGGCTGGATGGCTTGGCTGGCATGCCTGGCTTGGCTGGCTGGCTGGTTTTGCTGGCTTGGCTGTCTGGCTGGCTTGGCTGGCCTGCCTGGCTTTGCTTGCTGGCTGGCTTGGCTGGCCTGCCTGGCTTTGCTTGCTGGCTGGCTTGGCTGGCTTGGCTGCCTGGCTGGCTTGGCTGGCATGCCTGTCTTGGCTGGCTGGCGGGCTTGACTGGCTTGGCTGGCTTGGCTGCCTGGCTGGCTTGGCTGGCTTGGCTAGCTGGCTGGCTGGCTGGCGGGCCTGGCTGGCTAGGTGGCTTGGCTGGCTTGGCTGGCTGGGTGGCTTGGCTGGCTTGGCTGGCTGGGAGGCTTGGCTGGCTTGGCTGGCTGGCTGGCTGGCTGGCTTGGATGGCTTGGCTGGCTTGGCTGGCTTGGGTGGCTGGCTGCCTAGCTGGCTGATTGGCTTGGCTGGCTTGGCTGGCTGGGTGGCTTGGCTGGTTTGGCTGGCTGGCTGGCTGGGTGGCTTGGCTAGCTGGCTGGCTTGGCTGGCTTGGTTGGCTGGCTCTCTTGTTTGGTTGGCTGGCTTGGCTGCCTTGGCTGGCTGGCTGACTTGGCTGGCTGGGCTGGTTGGGTGGCTGGCTGGCCTGGCTGGCTGGGTGGCTGGCTGGCTTGGCTGGCTTGTCTGTCTTGGCTGGCTGGGTGGCAGGCTGGCCTGGCTGGCTGGATGGCTGGCTGGCTTGGCTGGGTGGCCGGCTTGGCAGGCTTGGCTGACTGGCTTGGCTGGTTTGGCCAGCTTTGCTGGCTGGCTTGGGTCTCTTGGCTGGCTTTGCTGGGTGGCTGGCTTGGCTGGGTGACTGGCTGGCTTGGCTGGCTGGCTGGTTTTGGCTGGCTGACTGGCTGGGCTGGCTGGGCTCGCTGTCTGGCTTGGCCGGCTCGGCTGGCTGGCTGGCTGGCTGGGCTGGCTTGGCTGGCTTGGCTGGCTAACTGGCTGGCTTGGCTGGCTTGGCTTGGCTCGCTTGGCCTGCTGGCTTGGCTGCCTTGTCTGGCTGGCTGGCTTGGTTTGCTTGGCTGCCTGGCTGGCTTGGCTGGCTTGGCTGCCTTGGCTGGCTTGGCTGGCTGGCTGGCTTGGCTGACTTGGCTGTTTGGGTTGGCTGGCTGGCTGGGGCTCCTGGGCTGGCTGGCTGGCTTGGCTGGCTGGCTTGCTTGGCTGGCTTGGCTGGCTGGCAGGCTTGGCTGGCTTGGCTGGCTGGCTGGCTTGGCTGGCTAGCCGGCTTGGCTGGCTTGGCTGGCTGGCTGGCTTGGCTGGCTGGCTTGTCTGGTTTGGCTGCCTGGGGGGTTTGCTGGAAGGGTTGGCTGGCTTGGCTGACTTCGCTGGCTAGTTGGCTTGGCTGGCTTGGCTGGCTTGGCTGGCTGGCTGGCTGGCTGGCTTGGCTGGCTTGGCAGGCTGGCTGGTTGGGTGGCTTAGCTTGCTGGCTGGCTGGCTGGGTCGCTTGACTGGCTTGGCTGGTTGGCTTGGCTGGCTTGGTTTGCCAGGCTGGAGTGCAATGGTGCAAACTTGGCTAGCTGCAGCCTCCACCTCCTGTGTTCAAGTGATCCTCCTGCGTTGGCCTCCCGAGTAGCTGGGATGAGAGATGAGTGCCACCACGCCCATCTATTTTTTTTGTATATTTAGTGGAGACGTTGTTTCACCATGTTGGCCAGGCTGGTGTTTTTTTTTCATTTTCTTTTTTTTTCTGAGTGGGAGTCTCACTCTGTTGCCCAGGCTGGAGTGCAGTGGTGCAATCTTTGTTCGCTGCAACCTCCACCTCCCGGGTTCAAGCGATCCTCCTGCCTGGGCCTCCCGAGTAGCTGGGATTACATTCCTGTGCTACCATGCTCAGCTAATTTCTTTGTGTATTTAGTACTGACGGGGTTTCACCATGTTGGCCAAGGTGCTCTTTTTTTTTCTTTTTTCTGAGATGGAGTCTCGCTCCATTGCCCTGGTTGGAGTTCTTCTTTTTTTTCAGATGGAGTGTCAATCTGTTTTCCAAGGTTCAGTGCAATGGTGCAATTTTGGCTGGCTGCAGCCTCTAACTCCCGGGTTCAAGCGATCCTCCTGCCTGGGCCTCCCGAGTAGCTGGGATTACAATCGTGTGCCACCACGCTCAGCTAATTTCTTTGTATATTTAGTACTGATGGGGTTTCGACAGGCTGGTCTTTTTTTTTTTTTTTTTTTGAGATGGAGTCTTGCTATATTGCCCAGGCTGGAGTGCTTTTTTTTCAGATGGAATCTCACTTTCTTGCCCAGGCTGGAGTGCAGTGGTGCAATCTTGGTTCGCTGCAACCTCCACCTCCCGGGTTCAAGCGATCCTCCTGCCTGGGCCTCCCGAGTAGCTGGGATTACAGGCGTGTGCCACCACGCCTAGCTAATTTTTTTGCATATTTAGTAGAGACGTGGTTTCACCATGTCGGACAGGCTGCTCTTTTTTCCTTTTTTTTTTTTTTTTTGAGATGGAGTCTTGCTATATTGCCCAGGCTGGAGTGCTTTTTTTTTTCAGATGGAGTCTCACTTTGTTGCACAGGCCGGAGTGCAGTGGTGCAGTCTTGGCTCGCTGCAGCCTCCACCTCCCAGGTTCAAGCGATCCTCCTGCCTGGGCCTCTCGAGTAGCTGGGATTACAGGCGTGTGCCACCACGCCCAGCTAATTTTTTTGTGTATTTAGTAGAGACGGGGTTTCACCATGTCGGCCAACCTGGTCTTTTTTTTTTTTTTTTTTTTTTTTCTGAGATGGAGTCTCGCTCTGTTGACCAGACTGGAGTGCTTCTTTTTTTTCAGATGGACTCTCACTCTGTTGCCCAGGCCAGAGTGCAGTGGTGCAATCTTGGCTCGCTGCAGCCTCCACCTCCCAGGTTCAAGTGATCCTCCTGCCTGGGCCTCCCCAGTAGCTGGGATTAGAGGCCTGTGCCACCACGTCCAGCTAATTTTTTTTGTATATTTAGTAGAGATGGGATTTCACCATGTTGGCCAACCTGGTCTTTTTTTTTTTTTCTGAGATGGAGTCTCGCTCTGTTGCCCAGTCTGGAGTGCTTCTTTTTTTTCAGATGGACTCTTACTCTGTTGCCCAGAGCAGAGTGCAGTGGTGCAATCTTGGCTCGCTGTAGCCTCCAACTCCCAGGTTCAAGCGATCCTCCTGTCTGGGACTCCCGAGTAGCTGGGATTACATTCGTGTGCCATGACGCCCAGCTAATTTCTTTGTATATTTAGTAGAGACGGGGTTTCACCATGTTGGGCAGGCTGTTTGTTGTTGTTGTTGTTGTTGTTGTTGTTGTTTTGAGATGGAGTCTCGCCCTGTTGCCCAGGCTGGAGTGCAGTGGTGCAATCTTGGCTCGCTGCAGCCTCCACCTCCCGGGTTCAAGGGATCCTCCTACCTGGGCCTCCCGAGTAGCTGGGATTATATTCGTGTGCCACCATGCTCAGCTAATTTCTTTGTATATTTAGTATTGATGGGTTTTCACCATGTTGGCCAGGCTGCTCTTTTTTTTTTTTTTTTTTTTTTTTTCTGAGATTGAATCTCACCCTGTTGCCCAGGCAGGCGTTCAGAGGTGCAATCTTGGTTTGCTGCAACCTCCACCTCCCGGGTTCAAGCATTCCTCCAGCCTGGGCCTACCGAGTAGCTGGGATTACAGGCGTGTGCCATGACGCCCAGCTAATTTTTTTGTATATTTAGTAGAGACGGGGTTTCACCATGTTGGCAAGGCTGGTCTTTCTTTTTTTTTTTTTTTTCTGAGATGGAGTCTAGCTCTATTGCCCAGGCTGGAGTGCTTTTTTTTCATATAGAGTCTCACTCTGTTGCCCAGGATAGAGCGCAGTGGTGCAATCTTGGCTCCGCTGCAGCCTCTACCTCCCGGGTTCAAGCGATCCTCCTTCCTGGGCCTCCCGAGTAGCTGGGATTACAGGCATGTGCCACCACGCCCAGCTAATATTTTTGTATATTTAGTAGAGATGGGGTTTCACCATGTCGGCCAGCTGGTCTTTTTTTTTTTCGAGTTGGAGTCTCGCTATATTGCCCGGGCTGGAATGCTTGTTTTTTTTCAGGTGGAGTCTCACATTTTGCCCAGGGTGGAGTGCAGTGGTGCAATCCTGGCTGGCTGCAGCCTCCACCTCCCAGGTTCAAGCAATCCTCCTGCCTGGGCCTCCCGAGTAGCTGGGATTACAGGTGTGTGTCACCACGCCCAGCTAATTATTTTGTATATTTAGTAGAGATGGGGTTTCACCATGTTGGCCAACCTGTTCTTTTTTTTTTTTTTTTTTCTGAGATGGAGTGTCGCTCTGTTGCCCAGGCTGAAGTGCTGTGGTACAATCTTGGCTCGCTGCAGCCTCCACCTCCCGGGATCAAGTGATCCTCTTGTCTGGGCCTCCCAAGTAGCGGGGATTACAGGCGTGTAGCAATACGCCCAGCAATTTTTTTGTATATTTAGTAGAGACGGGGTTTCACCATGTTGCCCAGGCTGGTCTTTTTTTTTTTTTTTTGAGATGGAGTCTGGCCCTGTTGCCCTGGCTCGAGTGCAGTGGTGCAATCTTGGCTCGCTGCAGCCTCCACCTCCCGGGTTTAAGCGATCCTCCTTCCTGGGCATCCCGAGTATGTGGGATTACATTCGTGTGCCACCATGCACAGCTAATTTCTTTGTATATTTAGTATTGACGGGGTTTCACCATGTTGGCCAGGCTGCTCTTTTTGTTTTTTTTTTTTTTCTGAGATGGAGTCTCACCCTGTTGCCCAGGCTGGAGTGCAGTGGTGCAATCTTGGCTCACTGCAGCCTCTACCTCCCGGGTTCAAGCGATCCTCCTGCCTGTGACTACCAAGTAGCTGGTATTACAGGCGTGTGCCATGACACCCAGCTAATTTTTTTGTATATTTAGTAGACACGGGGTTCACCATATTGGCCAGGCTGGTGGTTTTTTTTTTTTTTTTTTTTTTTTTTTTGAGGTTGAGTCTCGCTATATTGCCCTGGCTGTAGTTCTTTTTTTCAGATGGAGTCTCACTCGGGTGGAGTGCAGTGGTGCAATTTTGGCTCGCTGCAGCCTCAAACTCCCGGGTTCAAGCAATCCTCCTTCCTGGGCCTCCCGAGTAGCTGGGATTACAGGCGTGTGCCACCATGCCCAGCTAATACTTTTTTATTTTTAGTAGAGATGAGGTTTCACCATGTCGGCCAAGCTGGTCTTTTTTTAATTTTTTTCTCTCTTTTCTGAGATGGAGTCTCACCCTGTTGCCCAGGCTGGAGTTCAGTGGTGCTATCTTGGCTCGCTGCAGCCTCCACCTCCCAGGTTCAAGCGATCCTACTGCCTGGGGCTACCGAGTAGCTGGGATTACAGCCATGTGCCACCACGCCCAGCTAATTTTTTTATATATTTAGTAGAGACGGGGTGTCACCATGTTGGCCAGGCTGGTCTTTTTTTTTTTTTCTCAGATGGAGTCTCGCCCTGTTGCCCAGGCTGGAGTGCAGTGGTGTAATCTTGGTTTGCTGCAGCCTCCACCTCCCGGGTTCAAGTGATCCTCCTACCTGGGCATCCGGAGTAGCTGGGATTACAGGCGTGTGCCACCTCGGCCAGCTAATTTCTTTGTATATTTAGTAGAGACGGGGTTTCACCATGTTGGCCAGGCTGGTCTTTTTTTTTTTTCTTCTTTTGTGATGGAGTCTCGCTCTATTGCCCAGGCTGGAGTGCTTCTTTTTTTTGAGATAGAGTCTCTTTCTGTTGCCCAGGCCGGAGTGCAGTAGTGCAATCTTGGCTCACTGAAGCCTCCACCTCCCGGGTTCAAGCGATCCTCCTGCCTGGGCCTCCCGAGTAGCTGGGATTACCGGTGTGTGCCACCACCCCCAGCTAATTTTTTTTGTATATTTAGTAGAGACGGGTTTTCACCGTGATGACCAGGCTGGTCTTTTTTTTTTTTTTTTTTTTTTTCTGAGATGGAGTCCACCCTGTTGCCCAGGCTGGAGTGCAGTGGTGCAATCTTGGCTCGCGGCAGCCTCCACCTCCCGGGTTCAAGCGATCCTCCTTCCTGGGCTTCCCGAGTAGCTGGGATTACAGGCGTGTGCCACCATGTCCAGCTAATTTTTTTGTATATTTAGTAGAGACGGGGTTTCACCATGTTGGCCAAACTGGTCTTTTTTTTTTTTTTTTTTTTTCTGAGATGGAGTCTCACCCTGTTGCCTAGGATGGAGTGCACTGTTGAAATCTTGGATTGCTGCAACCTCCACCTCCCAAGTTTAAGCGATCCACCTGCCTGAGCCTCCCGAGTAGCTGGGATTACAGGCGTGTGCCACCACGCCCAGCTAATACTTTTGTATGTTTAGTAGAGATGAGGTTTCACCATGTCGGCCAAGCTGGTCTTTTTTTTTTTTTTTCTCTTTTCTGAGATGGAGTCTCACCCTGTTGCCCAGGCTGGAGTTCAGTGGTGCTATCTTGGCTCACTGCAGCCTCCACCTCCCGGGTTCAAGCGATCCTCCTGCCTGGGCCTCCCGAGTAGCTGGGATTACAGCCGTGTGCCACCATGCCCAGCTAATTTTTTTATATATTTAGTAGAGACAGGGTATCAACATGTTGGCCAGGCTGGTCTTTTTTTTTTTTTGAGATGGAGTCTCGCTCTATTGCCCAGGCTGGAGTGCTTTTTTTTTTGTCACATGGAGTCTCACCCTGTTGCCCAGGCCGGAGTGCAGTGGTGCAATCTTGGCTTGCTGCAGCCTCCACCTACCCGGGTTGAAGCGATCCTCCTGCCTGGGCCTCCCGAGTAGCTGGGATTAGAGGTGTGTGCCACCATGCCAAGCTTATTTTTTTGTATATTTAGTAGAGACATGTTTCACTATGTTGGCCAACCTTTTTTTTTCTTTTTCTGAGACGTAGTCGCGCTGTGTTGCCCAGGCTGAAGTGCAGTGGTATAATCTTGGCTCCCTGCAGCCTCTAACTCCCGGGTTCAAGCGATCCTCTTGCCTTGGCCTCCCGAGTTGCTGGGATTACAGGCGTGTGCCACCTCGCCTAGGTAATTTTTTTGTATATTTAGTAGAGACGGCGTTTCACCATGTTGGTCCGGCTGGTCTTTTTTTTTTTTTTTTTTTTTTTGAGATGGAGTCTCACCCTGTTGCCCAGGCTGGAGTGCAGTGGTGCAATATTGGCTCTCTGCAGCCTCCACCTCCCGGGTTCAAGTGATCCTCCTGCCTGGGCCTCCCGAGTAGCTGGGATTACAGCCGTGTGCCACCATGCCCAGCTAATTTTTTTATATATTTAGTACTGATGGGGTTTCACCATGTTGGCCAGGCTGCTCTTTTTTTTGTTTCTTTTGATTTTTTCTAAGACGGAGTCTCACCCTTTTGCCCAGGCTGGAGTGCAGTGGTGCATTCTTGGTTCCCTGCAACCTCCACCTCCCGGGTTCAAGCGATCCTCCAGCCTATGCCCACCGAGTAGCTGAGATTACAGGCATGTGCCATGACCCCCAGCTAATTTTTTTGTATATTTTATAGACACAGGGTTTCACCATGTTGGCCAGGCTGGTCTTTTTTTTTTTTTTTTTTTTTTTTTTTTTTGAGATGGAATATCACTCTATTGCTCTGGCTGGAGTTCTTCTTTTTTTTCATATAGAGTCTAATTCTGTTATCCAGGGTGGAGTGCAGTGGTGCAATCTTGGCTCGCTGCCGCCTCCACCTCCCAGGTTCAAGCGATCCTCCTTCCTGGGCCTCCCGAGCAGCTGGGATCACAGGCATGTGCCACCACATCCAGGTAATTTTTTTTATATTTAGTAGAGACGGGGTTTCACCATGTTGACCAGGCTGGTCTTTTTTTTTTTTTTTCCTGAGATGGAGTCTCGCCCTGTTGCCCAGGCTGGAGTGCAGTGGTACAATCTTGGTTCACGGCAACCACCCCCTCCCGGGTTCAAGTGATCATCCTGCCTGGGCCTCCCGAGTACCTGGTATTACAGGTGTGTGCCACCAAACCCAGCTATTTTTTTTTTTTTTTGAGATGTAGTATCACTCTGACACCACCGTGGAGTACAGTGGCGCCATCTCGGCTCACTGCAACCTCCGCTTCCCAGGTTCAAGCAATTCTCCTGCCTCAGCCTCCCGAGTAGCAGGGATTACAGGCATGTGCCACCACACCCAGCTAATTTTTCTATTTTTAGTAGAGACGGGGTTTCACCATGTTGGTCAGGCTGGTCTCAATCTCGTGACCTCGTGATCCACCCACCTTGGCCTCCCAAGGTGCTGGGATTACAGGCATGAGCCACCACGCCCGGCCCTATTTTTTTTGTATATTTAGAATAGACGGGGTTTCACCATGTTGGCCAGGCTGGTGTTTTTTTTTTTTTTTTTTTTTTTTTTTGAGATGGAGTCTCGCTCTATTGGCCAGGCTGGAATGCTTCTGTTTTTTCAGATGGAGTCTCACTGTGTTGCCCAGGCTGGAGTGCAGTGGTGCAATCTTGGCTCGCTGCAGCCTCCACCTCCCTGATTCAAGTGATCCTCCTGCCTGGGCCTCCCGAGTAGCTGGGATTACAGGTGTGTGCCACCACCCCCAGCTAATTTTTCTGTATATTTTGTAGAGATGGGGTTTCACCGTGTTGGCCAGGCTGGTCTATTTTATTTTATTTTTTCTGAGATGGAGTCTCGCCCTGTTGCCCAGGCTGGAGTGCAGTGGTGCAATCTTGGCTCGCTGTAGCCTCCACCCCCAGGGTTCAAGCGATCCTCCTGTCTGGGCCTCCCGAGTAGCTGGGATTACATTCATGTGCCACCACGCCCAGCTAATTTCTTTTTATATTTAGTAGAGATGGGGTTTCACCGTGTTGGCCAGACTGGCCTTTTTTTTTTTCTTTTTCTGAGATTGAGTCTCACCCTGTTGCCCAGGCTGGAATGAGGTGGTGCAATCTTGGTTCGCTTCAACCTCCACCTCCCTGGTTAAAGCGATCCTCCTGCCTGGGCCTCCCGAGTAGCTGGGATTACTGGCATGTGCCAACACGCCTAGATAATTTTTTATACATTTAGTAGAGACGGGGTTTCATCATGTTGGCCAGGCTGTTTTTTTTTTTTATTTTTTTTGAGATGGAGTCTCGTCCTGGCATGGCTGGCTGGCTGGCTTGTATGGCTTGGCTGGCTGGCTGGCATGGCTGGCTTGGCTGGTTTGCTGGCTGACAGGCTTGGCTGGCTGGGTGGCTTGGCTGGCATGCCTGGCTGGGTGGCTTGGGTGGCTTGGCTGGCTGGCTGGCTGGCTGGCTGGCTTGGCTGGTGGGGTGGCTTGGCCGGACGCCTTGCTTGTCTGGCTGGATGGCTTGGCTGGCATGGATTGCTTGGCTGGCTGGCTGGCTTGGCTTGCGTGGCTGGCTGGATGGCTTGGCTGGCTTGGCTGGCTGGCTGGCTTGGCTGGTGGGGTGGCTTGGCCGGACGCCTCGCTTGGCTGGCTGGATGGCTTGGCTGGCATGGATTGCTTGGCTGGCTGGCTGGCTTGGCTTGCGTGGCTGGCTGGATGGCTTGGCTGTCTTGGCTGTCTTGGCTGGCTGGATGGCTTGGCTGGCTGTGTGGCTTGGCTGTCTTGGCTGGCTGGGTGGCTTGGCTGGCTGTGTGGCTTGGCTGGCTTGGGTGGCTGGGTGGCTTGGCTGGCTGGCTGTGTGGCTTGGCTGGCTTGGCTGGCTGGGTGGCTTGGCTGGCTGGCTAACTGGCTTGGCTGGCGTGGATGGCTGGCTGGCTTGGTGGGTGGCCGGCTTGGCAGGCTGGCAGGCTGGCCTGACTGGCTTGATGGCTAGATGGCTTGGCTGGCTGGGTGGCTTGCCTGGCTTGGCTGGCTTGGCTGTATGGCTGGCTTGACTGGCTTGGCTGGCTGGCTGTCTTGGCTGGCTTGGATGGCTGGCTGGCTTGGCTGGTTGGCTGGTTTGGCCGGCTTGGCTGGCTTGGCTGGCGTGGGTGGCTGGCTGCCTGGCCGTCTTGGCTGGCTTGGCTGGCTGGGTGACTTGGCTGGCTGGGTGGCTTGGCTGGTTTGGCTGGCTGGCTGGCTGGGTGGCTTGGCTAGCTGGCTGGCTTGGCTGGTTGGCTGGCTTGGCTGGCTTGGCCGGCCGGGTGGCTTGGCTGGCTTGGCTAGCCAGCTGGCTTAGCTAGCTGGATGGCTTGGCTGGCATGCCTGGCTTGGCTGGCTGGCTGGCTTGGCTGGCTTGGCTGCCTGGCTGGCTTGGCTGGCATGCCTGTCTTGGCTGGCTGGCAGGCTTGACTGGCTTGGCTGGCTTGGCTGCCTGGCTGGCTGGCGGGCCTGGCTGGCTAGGTGGCTTGGCTGGCTTGGCTGGCTGGCGGGCCTGGCTGGCTAGGTTGCTTGGCTGGCTTGGCTGGCTGGGTGGCTTGGCTGGCTTGGCTGGCTGGGAGGCTTGGCTGGCTTGGCTGGCTGGCTGGCTGGCTGGCTTGGATGGCTTGGCTGCCTTGGCTGGCTTGGGTGGCTGGCTGCCTGGCTGGCTGATTGGCTTGGCTGGCTTGGCTGGCTGGGTGGCTTGGCTGGCTTGGCTGGCTGGGAGGCTTGGCTAGCTTGGCTGGCTTGGCTGTCTGGGCTGGCTAGCCGGCTTGGCTGGCTTGGCTGGCTGGCTGGCTTGGCTGGCTGGCTTGTCTGGTTTGGCTGCCTGGGCTGGCTGCCTGGCTGGTTGGCTGGCTTGGCTGGCTTGGCTGGGTGGCCGGCTTGGCTGGCTTGGCTGACTGGCTTGGCTGGGTTGGCCAGCTTCGCTGGCTGGCTTGGGTCTCTTGGCTGCCTGGGCTGGCTGTCTGGCTGGGCTGTCTGGCTGGTTGGCTGGCTTGGCTGGCTTGGCTGGGTGGCCGGCTTGGCTGGCTTGGCTGACTGGCTTGGCTGGTTTGGCCAGCTTTGCTGGCTGGCTTGGGTCTCTTGGCTGGCTTTGCTGGGTGGCTGGCTTGGCTGGGTGGCTGGCTGGCTTGGCTGGCTGGCTGGTTTGGCTGGCTGACTGGCTGGGCTGGCTGGGCTCGCTGTCTGGCTTGGCCGGCTCGGCTGGCTGGCTGGCTGGCTGGGCTGGCTTGGCTGGCTGGCTGGCTTGGCTGGCTTGGCTGGCTAACTGGCTGGCTTGGCTGGCTTGGCTTGGCTCGCTTGGCCTGCTGGCTTGGCTGCCTTGTCTGGCTGGCTGGCTTGGTTTGCTTGGCTGCCTGGCTGTTTGGGTTGGCTGGCTGGCTGGGGCTCCTGGGCTGGCTGGCTGGCTTGGCTGGCTGGCTTGCTTGGCTGGTTTGGCTGGCTGGCAGGCTTGGCTGGCTTGGCTGGCTGGCAGGCTTGGCTGGCTTGGCTGGCTGACTGGCTTGGCTGGTTTGGCTGGCTTGGCTGGCTGGCTAGCTGACTCACTTGGCTGGCTTGGCTGGGTGGGTGGCTTAGCTGGCTTGGCTGACTGGCTTGGCTGGCTTGGACATTAAATATAATAATATATTTGGTACATTAAATATAAATTGTATACGTTAAATATAAACATCTTTTATACATCAAACATAAACATTTTATACATTAAATGTAAACATATCTTATATGTTAAATATAAACTTCTTTTATACATTAAATATAAGAATACATTTGGTACATTTAATGTATACAGTACATTAAATATAGACATTTTAGACATTAAATATAAGCATATATTCAGCACATTAAATGTAAACATATTTTATACATTAAATATAAATACTGTGTATGTTAAATATAAATATGTATTTTCTATATTAAATGTAAATATGTATCCTGTACATTAAATATAAACATATTTTCTATATTAAATATAAACATGTATTTTGCATAGTAAATATAACTATACATTTTCTATATTAAATATCAACATGTATTATGTATATTAAACAAAGACATATATTTCCCATATTAAATATAAACATATATTTTTATATGTTAAATATAAATATATATTTCCTGTATTAAATATACACATATATATTAAATATAAATATATTTTTCTATATGAAATGTAAACATATTTTAAACATTAAATATAAATATTCGTCTTAGATATGGCCCGTGTTGGAATGTGTAGTAGATTGAGTATATAATGTCTACTCAATATAAAATTTATATTTATATATGCAGTAATGATTCAAGTTGATTGTAGTTAAGAAAAACAAGCTCCAAATTCGAAAGAAATATGTAAGAAGAGAGACAGGAAGAAAAAATAATGAGGCAGGTAAATGCAACAGACAATTCGAGACCCACAAGTGCAGAGCAGGCTTCCCAGACCCAGGTAATGTCTCCTGGGCTGATAGGAAGCCCTCAACCCCCCAAGTCCTTCTCAGCCATAAACCACCTGAGCACAGAGCCACAGGGACCGTGTTGGGGCTGGGCCTCCCGACTTCAGTTCCTCTCATTCTGTGCAAAAGGAAGAACAATTCAGAATCTACAGAGGTTTAGATGTGTGCAGATGTGGACAGAGAAGTCCGGGCACAGTGGTTTACTGCCCAAGAAGACAGTGAGTCCCCGGAGGAATAGAAGAATATACATCATGCTAATATATGTCATCCCAGTACTTTGGGAGGCCGAGGCGGGTGGATCACTTGAGGTCAAGAGTTCGAGACCAGCCTGGCCAACATGGTGAAACCCCGTCTCTACTAAAAATACAGAAATTAGTTGGCCGCAGGGGTGGATGACTGTGATCCCAGATACTCGGGAGACAGAGGCGGGATGAACTGCTTGAACCTGGGAGGAGGAGGTTGCAGTGAGCTGAGATCATGCCATTGCACTCCAGCCTGGGGAAAAGAGCAAGATCCAGTCTCAAAGAAAAAAGAAAAAAAGAAAGAAGTTGTGAGTGCTAAGTTCTCTCTGGATTTTCAGGAGGCCAGTTCTCCAGTCCATGGTGGCCTGGGAGGACAGGGGTTCCTGAGGGTGAACAGAGCCTGTGCCCGGTCAGGTAGGATCATATGTCCCTGAAGTTCAGAACCCAGGAGCATGGGGATGGTCCTGGGGGTTCCTGCTGCACGGAGGGAAGACCCTCTTTCCACAGGGGCCCCGGAGAGCGAGAGGAAGGAGGAGGGCAGGTCAGTGAGTGTGATGGGGTCACAGTGGAGAGGGAAGCAGAAAGAAGTGTTCCCACAGCAAGACACACACACTGTCCATGCTGAAGCTACAGAGAGGACCTCTCCACCTGTGTCTGCCGCAAAGCAGTGGGGCGTCTTCTGGCAGCCCAGAGTCACCTCCAGATCCCACCTGCACCATGCTTCCTGCGGAGACTGCCTGTCTTCCTAATACACTGTCTTCTGACCAGTCTTCCAGACAAATCACCGGTTGCTATATATATATTTTTTAATAGCTAATATCTTACACTGATATATTTATATTATATATAAATAATTTTGTGCTTTATGTTTATGCTATATATACAGATGTAGTTAGCTATTTATGTTATATATAATATAAACATGATGTATATTCTTATATTTCTCTGGGGACTCACTGTCTTCTTAATACACTGTCTTCTGACCAAATTCTTCCAGACAAATCAGCTGTTGCTATATATATATATAGGCTATATATTTTATTACATAGAATATATTATATATTATATAGCATAGAATATATTATATATTATATATTAATTATATATGTTACATATTACATATTATATATAATATATTATATTATTATGCTATATCTTATATATTATATATGTTATATATGTATATATATTATATGTACACATATACACATACATACACACATGTATATTTTAATAGCTAATATCTTACACTGGTATATTTATATTACATATGATTATATACAATATTTTTGTACTTTATGTTTATGTTGTATATACAGATGTAATTAGTTGTTTATGTTATATATAATATAAACATGATGTATATTCTTATTTTCCTGTGAGGACCCACTGTCTTCTTAATACACTGTCTTCTGACCAAAGTCTTCCACACAAATCAGCGGTTACTATATATATATATAATATTTATATACACATATACACATACATACACACATATGTATATTTTAATAGCTAATATCTTACACTGATATATTTATATTACATATAGTAATATACTAATATTTTTGTACTTTATGTTTATACTATATATACAGATGTTGTTAGGTATTTATGTTATATATAATATATTAACATGATGCACATTCTTGTATTCTCCTGGGGACTCACTGTCTTCTTAATACACTGTCTTCTGACTAGAATATTCCAGACAAATCACCGGTTGCTGTCTCTCTCTCTCTCTATATATATATATATATATTAATAGCTAATATCTTACACTGATATATTTATATTACATATAGTTATATACAAATATTTTTGTACTTTTGTTTATACTATATACACAGATGTAGTTAGCTATTTATGTTATATATAATATATCAACATGATGTATATTCTTATATTCCTCTGGGGACTCACAGTCTTCTTAATACACTGTCTTCTGACCAAACTCTTCCAGACAAATCAGCTGTTGCAGTATATATATATATTTATTTTTTAATAGCTAGTATCTTACACTGTGGCTCATGCCTGTAATCCCAGCACTTTGGGAGGCTGAGGCGTGTGGATCACCTGAGGTCAGGAGTTTGAGACCATCCTGGCTAACACAGTGAAACCCCATCTCTACTAAAAATACAAAAATTGATTGGGTGTGGTGGTGCATGCCTGTAATCCCAGCTACTTGGGAGGCTGAGGCAGGAGAATCGCTTGAACCCAGGAGGCAGAGGTTGCAGTGAGCCGAGATCGTGTTGCTGCACTCCAGCCTGGGCAACAGAGCGAGACTCCATCTCACACACACAAAACATCTTACACTGATGTATTTATATTACGTGTAGCTGTATATAAATATTTTTGTACTTATATTCTGTGTACTTATATTCTATATATTATAAAACATTATATAAAATTATACATGTATAATAAAATGTTACATAAAAATTTTAACATAATACCATTTTATTATATATATTTCTAAATTTAATATAATGAAATTTTATATATAATAATGTATAACATCTCTAAATTTATTATAATACAATGATATGTAATTATTTTCTCATATTATAATTATACATAAGGTAATTTATTATAAATAAGATTTTATATAATCTACATTTATTATAATAAAATTTTATTACATATAACGCATTTCTAAATTTAATACAATAAAATACTATGTATAATAATTTATAACGTTTCAAAATTTATTATATAATTTTATTATACAATTATTTTATACATAATTATACATAGTATATAATTGTACTTATAGAAATATAATTATGCATATACAATATGTAATTTTATTTTTACACAGTATATATGTATAATTATGTATTAACAAATATAATATCAATTTTATATACTTATTTACATTAAGTTATATATTATATAAATGATGTTATATGTTATATATGTTACATATATTTTTGCTTAATATATTAAATTTAATCTATAAAATTATGTATTAGAAATAAAAGTATTTGCTTAATATATTAAATTTAATCTATAAAATTATGTATTAGAAATAAAAGTATTTTACATATACACTACATATAACTTTATTTATATAAAAATATAAAAGTCATATGGTTAAGTTACTAAAATAATTTATATCAATCTATTCATATAAAATATACACAATGCGTATTTCTATAAATACAAAGTATATAAAACTTTTACCAGTAGGATGCAAAGAGTTGCTGACCGTCTGCAGAAATCCTGAACCTCTGGAAGCAGAATAAAATCTTACCTCCCAGTCTGCTTTGAAAGGAACAGTAAAGCAGTCCCGAACCCCAAACCCACCCTAAGGGGAGATGGGGGAGTTGGGATGGACGTGTTGACCAGTGAGGACTTTCCTTTGCTGGTTTTGAGGTGTCTTAGCCCAGAAGCTAAGATGGGAAGTGATTCTGGAGCAGGTGAGCTGATCACAAGCCTGAGCCAAGAATCCATGGAGCTCATAAATAGCAGAAGCCGGGACCCTGTGCAAATCCTTCTGAAATATTCTCCATTTACTGGGCTCCTAGGGGTGGGGAAGAAAAATTCCCTGACATTTCGGCCTCAGGGAAAGAGAGAGACACCCCACTGAGCGGAAGCCTCTGCTATTTTTCAGAAGACAGCTGGGGCATCACCCTTTCCCAAATGACGGTGATTTTCAGAGTGGTTCACTTTTTGGAGAGACATTTCTGCCCTGGAGATCCATACATATTGAACCCAAATGAATATTTTTTAATTAAAAAGAATTAAACTTTAGAAAGTTCAATATTGAGGCAGCTACGAGTTTGAATTCCTCGTTTTTCCTAAATGCATGTTGTCAAAATCTGTATTGCATTTAGTAACTACTTATGTTTCTAAAGTATATAAGGTTACACAATGTTTTCTTCTTTTTCTGCTCCTCAGGGTCAGAATTTGAAATAAAAGTTTTGGAAAGAAAAAACACTCTTGTCTGTTTGTGCAAAAATAAAAGAACCCATATTTTAAGAATATTTTAAAATAAATACAAATTTTGTGTGGGGGGTTGCTTATAAGAATTCTTCATATCCTAAATCAAAGATAGATCTTGTTATTAACCAGAAAACAAAATGTGTGTGTATAAATGTACAACACTCTTACACTCACACAAACACAGGCACACATGCACACACACACATTCACGCACTCACTGATGTACTCACACAAACACAGGCATTCATGTATAAATACACACATAAGCGTGTATTTATAGAAATATAATTATGCACATACAATATATAATTTTATTTTTACATAGTATATATACATAATTATGTATTAACAAATATAAGATCAATTTTATTATATACTTATTTACATAAAGATATATTATATAAATGATGTTATATGGCATGTATATATCACATATAACTTTGCTTAGTATATAAAATTTAATCTATAAAATTATGTATCACAAATAAAAGTATATTTTACATATACACTATATATAACTTTATTTATATGAACTATAAAAATCATGTTTATATTAATAAAATATATTTATATCAATATATTAATATAAAGTATGCACAATGTATATTTATATAAAAATTTTTAATTAAAAAATATTCATTTGGGTTCAATATGTATGGATCGCCAGGGCAGAAACGTCTCTTCAAAAGTTGAACCCTTCTTAAAATCACCGTCATTTGGGAAAGAGTGATACCCCACCTGTTTTCTGAGAAACAGCAGAGGTGTACGGCCAGCGGGGTGTCTCTCTCTTTCCCTGAGGCCGAAAAGTCAGGGAATTTTTCTTCCCCACCCCTAGGAGCTCTGTAAACCGGGGATATTTCAGAAGGATTTGCACAGGGTCCCGGCTTCTGTTGTAAATGAGCTCCATAGATTCTCGGCTCAGACTTGTGATCAGCTCACCTGCTCCAGAATCACTGACACAAATGCAACCACACACTTACACAAACACACATCAACACAAAGACAGACAGAATCACAAAACACACTCATAGAAACACATGGACACACGAAGACATGCACACTCACACAAATGCAGGGACACACACACAAACACAATTACAAAAATGTGTGGGTTTTTTGCACACGTGGGTGCACATGCACATTGACATTCTCACAAAGCACACAAACACGTATACATACAAAGTCACTCATAAACAGAATCATGAAAACACTCTCATATAAACACGTGGATGGCTACTCACCCACACAGACACTCACATATGTCATACACACTCATAGACATACTCAGAATCACACAAGCACACACAAACACATAAATACAGTCACACACTCATGGAAACACAGTCACAAAAAGACTCACATAATCATGTAGACACACAAACATAAAAATTCACACACTGGGGCCGGGCAAGGTGGCTCACGCCTGTACTCCCAGAACTTTGGGAGGCCGAGGCGGGCAGATAACTTGAGGTCGGGAGTTCCAGACCAGCCTGGCCAACATGGTGAAACCCCATCTCTACTCAAAAATACAAAAATTAGCCAGATGTGGTGGCTTATGCCTGTAATCCCAGCTACTCAGGAGGCTGAGGCAGGAGAATCATTTGAACCCGGGAGGCAGAGGTTGCAGTGAGCCAAATCACGCCACTGCACTCCAGCCTGGGCGACAGAACGAGACTCCGTATCAAAAAAGAAAAATTAGCCAGATGTGGCGGTGGCTGCCTGTAATCCCAGGTACTCAGGAGGCTGAGGCAGAAGAATCGTTTGAACCCGGGAGGCGGAGGTTGCTGTGAGCTGAGATTGTGCCTTTGCACTCCAGTATGGGTGACAGAGCGAGACTCCGTCTCAAAAAAAAAAAAAAAAAAAAGAATTTATACATTGCCATACAGATTCACACACATACACTCATATTCACAAACACACAAATACGATAAACGCAGGGGCACACAAAAACACCATCACAAAAACACACTTCCATAAAACACAGGAATGCACGCTCACACAGAAACACGCATGGAAACACACGTTGTCTTACAGACTCACAGACACACTCATCATCACATAAACAGGCACACACACACAGCCACACAAGCACACACCCACACCCACATCAACACACACACTCCCACACGGCACACACGCGCTCACGCACACAGGTAGAACAGGCCTGCATTACCTGATAACGCAGTGAAATCAGACGTGATGCTGCCTGCTGAGGAGACCTGGAGGCTTCCCATGAATGGGCTTTCAGAAGAGAGGTCTCTGGGTGCATTTGGTGACACCCCAGGCAGTGGGGGACACGTCCAGGCTGGAAGGCCAGCCACAGCCAGCTCTGCCCAAGGATGCCACGTCCATTTGCTTCAGTAGGATATGTACCCTGGAAACCCAGCTTCCTGCTTCTCCAGGAAACCCCACTGAGGTCAGCACATCCCCCCAGGTTTAGAAGGGGTCTCTGGGTGCATCTGGTGACACCCCAGGCGGGGGGGGGTGAGACATCCAGGCTGGAAGGCCAGCCACAGCCAGCTCTGCCCACGGATGCCACGTCCATTTGCTTCAGTAGGGTCTGCACCCTGTAAACCCTGGTTCCTGCCTCTCCAGGACACCCCACTGAGGTCAGCACCCCCCACCCCCCACCCCCAGGTTTGTGCAGCTTCACTATCTGGGGAGAGACACAGAAAGACCACATTCGGTGGAATTCTGGCTATAACCTTTTGTGGCCGGCAAGAAGGATCACCAAGCTGTCCTGTTACCTTGCTGGAGCGATCACTGGTTTCACGCTTGGCCCCCGTGCAGTGAGTGCCTGGGCCAGGCTCGATTCTTGGAGCTCCAGTGAAATTTGGGCTTGGAGCTCACGCCTGCACCATCCAGAAAGCAGAAGGCAGCTGGCCCGGGCTGTACGGTTCATAGAATCAGAGAGAACACTGCTTGCCTTCATGTCTGTACCACAATAAATCTGCCAACTGTGGTCAAAGTCTCTGGATTCCTGCCCCCTCATTTTATTTTGTCTATTATGGAGTGGAAGGAGTGAGAAAGATTTTGCTTCCTATTTTGTTTTGCAAGGCGTTTCTAAGAAAAACAACCCGTGTTCTGCAAACGACATTCTGAGTGTCCCCTGGGCGTGATGAAAACAAACTTTGGGAATCCAAGGGCCTGAGAGGCAGAGTGAATGTCATTCACATTTCCCTGCGAATGACAAAGTCACTTTTTATTTATTATTATTATTATTAATTATTATTATTATAGATTCAGGGGATCCACGGGCAGCTTTGTGTCCTGGGGATATTGTACGATGCTGAGGTTTGGGGTATGAATAATCCCGTCACCCAGGCGCTGAGCATTGTACATTCCTGAGGTATATAATGTGTACTAAAAATAAAATGTATATTTATATATGCACTAATGATTCAACTTGATTCCTTGTAATTAAGAAAAACAAACCCCAAATTCGAGAGGAGTTCTAGAAATATATAAGAAGAGGGCCAGGTGCAGTGGCTCATGCCTGTAATCCCAGCACTTTGGGAGGCCAAGGCAGGCAGATCACCTGAGGTCAGGAGTTCGAGACCAGCCTGGCCAACATGGTGAAACCCCCGTCTCTGCTAAAAATACAAAAATTAGCCAGGTGTGGTGGCAGGTGCCTGTAGTCCCAGCTACTTGGGAGGCTGAGGTAGAAGAATTGCTTGAATCCAGGAGGCAGAAGTTGCAGGGAGCCGAGATTGCACCACTGCACTCCAGCCTGGGTCACAGAGTGAGACTCCATCTCAAAAAAAAAGAAAAAAAAAGAGAGAGAGAGAGATAGAAAACAAACAAGCAAGAAAATGCAACAGAAAAATCCGTGACCCAAAGATCTCTCCAGTTGCTGCCTTCTGCCTGAAATTCAAAGAATCTCAGGGTAGTTTTTCAACCCTTGTACCCCCGCCCCTGCTTCCTACTCTATTAGTCCTGAGGGTCTGTGGTGCCCCTTCATTGTGTCCAGGTGCAGGCAATGTTTAGCTCCCACCTATAAGCAAAAACATGTGGTATTTTATTTTCTGTTCCTGGCGTTAATTCACTAAGCATAGTGCCCTTCAGCTTCATCCATGTGACTGCAAAGGGCATGATTTTATTCTTGTTCATGGCTGTGTAGTATTCCATGATGCGGAAGGACCACATTTACTTTATCTAATTGAGAACATGTGGTATTTGATTTTCTGTTTCTGGCATTAATTCACTAAGCATAATGCCCTTCAGCTTCATCCACGTTGCTGCAAAGGGCATGATTTTATTCTTGTTCATGGCTGTGTAGTATTCCATGATGCAGAAGGACCACATTTGCTTTATCTAGTGCAGAACATGTGGTATTTGATTTTCTGTTCCTCATATTGATTCACTAAGCATAATGCCCTCTGGCTGCATCCATGTGGCTGCAAAGACATGATTTTATTTTTTTCATCACTGTGTAGTATTCCGTGGTGTAGAAGGGCCACATTTGCTTTATCCAGTTGAGAACATGTAGTATTTCATTTTCTGTTCCTGGCATTAATTCACTAAGCATAATGTCCTTCAGCTGTGTCCATGTGGCTGCAAAGGACATGACATTATTCTTTTTCGTGGCTGTGTAGTATTCCATGATGCAGAAAGACCACATTTGCTTTATCTAGTGGAGAACATGTGGTATTCGATTTTCTTTTCCTGGCGTTAATTCACTAAGCATAATTCCCTTCAGCTGTGTCCATGTGGCTGCAAAAACATGATTTTATTCTTTTTCATGGCTGTGCAGTATTCCATGGTGTAGAAGGGCCACAATTGCTTTATCCAGACAAGAACATGTGGTATTTGATTTTCTGTTCTTGTGTTAATTCATTAAGCATAATGCCCTCCAGCTACATCCATGTGGCCGCAAAGGACATGATTTTATTCTTTTTCATGGCTGTGTAGTATTCGATGCTGTAGAAGAACCACTTTTGCTTTATCCAGTACCCCACTGATGGGCAACTAGGTTGATTCCATGACTTTCCTATTGTAAGTCGTGCTGTGATGAACCTTACAGGGCCAGGCGCTGTAATCCCAGCACTCTGGAGGGCCAAGGTGGGCAGATCACCTGAGGTCAGGAGTTCGAGACCAGCCTGGTCAATATGGTGAAACCCTGTCTCTACTAAAAATACAAAAATTAGCCAGGCATGGTGGCGCATGCCTGTAATCCCAGCTGCTCAAGAGGCTGAGGCAGGAGAATCACTTGAACCCTGGAGGCAGAGGTTGCAGTGAGCCGAGATTGCTACTGCACTCCAGCATGGGAAATAGAGCGAGACTCCATCTCAAAAAACAAACAAAAAAAAGGAACTTTAACATGCATGTGTCTTTTTGGTAGAATGACTTCTTTTCCTTTGGGTAGATGCCCAGTCTTGGAATTGCTGGTGCAAATGGTGGAGCAGTTTGGATTCAGGAGGTACATGTACAGGTTTCTTACATGGGTACGATGTGTGATGCTGAGGTCTGGGGTATGAGTGATCCCATCACCCAGGTAGTGAGCATAATACCCCACAGTTGGTTTTTTCAACTCTTGTCCTTCTACCTTCCTCTCTCCCCCTAACTAGACCCCAATATCTGTTCCCTTCTCTGTGTCTACATATACACAACATTTAGCTCCCACTTATAAGTGAGAACACGCAGCATTCTATTAATTTACTTAAGATAATGGCCTCCACACTGTTCACAATAGCAAAGATGTGGAACCAACCCAAATGCTCATCAGTGATAGACTGGATAAAGAAAATGTAGCACATAGACACTGTGGAATACTATGCAGCCATGAAAAAGATGAGTTCATGTCCTTTGCAGGGACATGGATGAAGTTGGAAACCCTCATGTTCAGCAAAGTGACACAGGAGCAGAAAACCAAACAGTGCATGTTCTCACTCATAAGTGGGAAGTGAACAATGAGAACATATCAACCCAGAGAGGGGAACATCACACACTGGGGCCTACTGCAGGGGTGGGGGACTGGGGAAGGGACAGCATTATGAGAAATATCTAATGTAGATGATGGGTTGATGGGTGCAGCAAACCGCTATGGCACATGTATATCTATGTAACAATCCTGCACATTCTGCACATATACCCCAGAACTTAAAGTAGAATAGAAAAAAAATAATAAAAATAATTAAAAAAGATAATGGCCTCCAGCTACATCCATGTTACTGCAAAAAACAAAAACAAAAACAAAAAAAACCGTGATTTTGTTCCTTTTCAGGGTTGCGTAGTAGTCCATGGTGTAGATGTACCACATTTTCTTTGAGGGTGGGAGGAGGGAGAAGATCAGCAAAAATAACCTGTGGCTGGGTATGGCAGCTCACACCTGTATTCTCAGCAGTTTGGGAGGCTGAGGTGGGTGGATCACCTGAGGTCAGGAGTTTGAGATCAGCCTGGCCAACATGGCAACACCCTATCTCTACTAAAAGTACAAAAATTAGCCGGGCATGGTGGTGCATGCCTGTAATCCTGGCTCCTCTGTAGGTTGAGGCAGGAGAATCTCTTGAACCCAAGAGGCAGACATTGCAGTGAGCTGAGATCGTGCCACTGCCCTCCAGCCTGGACCACAGAGTGGGACTCCATCTCAAAAAATAATCATAAAAATAATAATAACAACCTGCTAGGCTTAGGACATAGGTTGATTCCATTACAAAAAACAAAACAAAACAAAACAAAAAACTAACTTTTTAAAAGAAGGATCTCTCTGTTCAAAAACAAAACCAATGCCCTGTCAGGAAAGATGTTCTGTGTTTCTGGTAAAGCTGGAAGGAACCTACAGGAAGGAGTCACCCCATAAAACTAGTGGAGCAGCATTGCCTTTTGGAGTGAGGGCTGCTTCTGTTAGGCCACCTGGATGAGTGCCTTCCTGGGGAGTGTGGTTCATCCTATACCATCCAGGAAGCAATTCCTGCCCCCAAATCACCTGCCAGCTTCTGCCCTGTAAGTAAAATCCCCAGCAAGCGGGCAGCAAGGAGCTGCTTGCCTTGGAAGGCAGCTGAAGTCTCTGCCCACCACCCAGACTGTGTCCTCTGGGCAAGGCCAGGGCTTCCAGTTGGATGGTTTTCACATTAACGGCTGCTGTTTAGAATCATCAACATTGGCCAGGCGCGGTGGCTCACGCCTGTCATCTCAGCACTTTGGGAAGCCGAGGCGGGTGGATCACAAGGTCAGGGACCAGCCTGGCCAACATGGTGAAACCCTGTCTCAACTAAAAAAAGAAATACAAAAATTAGCTTGGTGTGGCTGGGCATGGTGGCTCATCCCTGTAATCCCAGCACTTTGGGAGGCCGAGGCGGGCAGATCATGAGGTCAGGAGATCAAGACCATCCTGGCTAACATGGTGAAATGAAACCCCGTCTCTACTAAAAATACAAAAAATTAGCCAGGCACGGTGGCAGGCACCTGTAGTCCCAGCTACTCGTGAGGCTGAGGCAGAAGAATGGCATGAACCTGA
The DNA here is from genome assembly GCF_000001405.40 of Homo sapiens. Lineage (NCBI taxonomy): Eukaryota > Metazoa > Chordata > Mammalia > Primates > Hominidae > Homo > Homo sapiens. The sequence goes on along the minus strand of NT_187648.1, from coordinate 81,765 downwards.
GAGGCGGGGTTTGCAGTGAGCCCAGATTGCGCCACTGCACTCCAGCCTGGGCGATATAGAGTGAGACTCTGTCTCAAAAAACACAAAAAAATAAAAAATTAGCCTGGTGTGGTGGTGGGCACCTGTAATCCCAGCTACTCAGGAGGCTGAGGCAGGAGAATTGCTTGGACCCCGGAGGCAGAGGTTGCAGTGAGCCGAGATCGCGCCATCGCACTCCAGCCTAGACAACAGAACAAGACTCTGTTGTAAAAAAAAAAAAAAAAAAAAAAAAGAATCATCAACATTGCCTTGGCCCCATCTCTTCCCAGACTTGTCAGATCTTTACCACTGGACCTCCATGTTCTAGTTTCAAAGCTCTGCTGGCCACAGTGGCTCATGTCTGTAATCCCAGCACTTTGGGAGGCTGAGGTAGGAGGACTGCTTGAACCCAGGAGCATGAATCCATCCTAGGCAACATAGTGATAATAGTGTCAAATGAGAGCCAGTGTCCAGTAATTCCCCAAATATCTGAGAATTTTCTTTTCTTTAAGTCACAGTCATCCTGGCAGAAGGCTGTAAGTCCCTTTGGGGAAGACTGGGAAAAAGATTAACAATGTAAATTTTTGGCAACGTAGCAGCGTACTTCCCCAAGATCACCCAGCCTCCCCTTCACTTAAGGGGTTGTGGGCCTGTGAACTGGCTCAAGTCTGGGAATTGATTGAGGGTTTTAGATCTGTGTTTCATTAATTTGAGTTAGTCTTTTATTCAGTTGACCTAGAATTCTTCATTTTTTAAAGAACAACTAAGACTTTGGTACAGCCCATTAGCTCTCCCTGTGGATACCATGGACTACACAATGCCGTGGGTGTCTGTGAGTCAAACCATTCTGACTGCTGCTTTGACACTGCTTTCCACTGTGGTGACCACACCCACCTCATCTTTGGTGATTAAGGACAGCCCATGTTCCCTGCCACCCCAGGATTCAATTATCCTCATTTTACTTAAAGATCCCAGTCCAGTGGCTGCAGTTCCTGCTGTAACATTTTGCCTACTGAGAGCACAAGCTCAAAGCTCTTCCAGGATACTGGGCTCCTCTCACAATATTCTTTCTCATGATCGTTGTGAGGAGTATGTTCCGTAGACCCTCCAGTGTGAGTGAGCAGGTCTGACATAATAAATCCAGTCTCCCTGAGTTTTTGCATACCTTTCTGTACACATAAACCAAGGAAGTTGTGGCATCTCAACTTTATGTACCTTAGGTAAACTCTGATTCTGTTTCAGCCAACCAACCAAGTCACCAAACAAGCAAACAGCCAACCAATCAACCAACAAGCAAGCAAGCAACAAACCAACCAAACAACCAAGCAAGGAAGCAAGCACCAACCAACCAAGCAAACAACCAACCAAGTAACCGATCAAACCAACCCTTGGAGCCCTTTCTAAAGCTTTGACCTACAACCCTGAGTCCAGAATCTCTGTTTAGTGGGCCAACATTAATAAATTTAGCCTAATCCAACTTTATGTTACTTCCACCATGGTGCCACACACTTAATATCCATTCCCACATATATTCTCCAGATTTCCTTCTGTATAAATTGCGTGTGTGTGTGTGTGTGTGTGTGTGCAGAAAGAGAGCATCAACTGAAAAATCACACAATTTTATAAATTTAGAAAAGAGAGCTTTATTTCTTATATAGGTTTGCAGTCTGCAAGGTGGCCATTATGACAGGCTGGGAAGTGTGGCCTACAGCCAAGGCCAGAGGCAGGCATTTCCAGGGAGGGAAGGAGAGGACAGGAATTTGAGCCAAATGAATTGGCTACATATACATACTCAATAGGATATCAGAGGAGCTATATCATTTTATGAGAATACTCATAAAAGAGGTCCTAATGCATGCATATTCCATAAACATGCATGTTCATTCTGGGGTGGAGACTTGACATTTAAATGTATTATAATTAGGCCCTACACATCAAAAAGTGAAGCAGGGACATGAAGGTACTCAGCCTCTGTACAGGCACAGCCTCCAAAACTGGCCAGAACCAGTCCATGGAGGATGGTCTCTTATCAGGAGAAAGTTACTGAAATCAGTCCCTTGTCCAGAGAAAGCTGTCATTAAGGTTAGTGGGGCAGGAGATCAGTTACTCAGCGTCTGTGAACTGGGTGAGTTGTAATTGTTTTAATCTTGCTTCTCTCACAGCCAGTGCTTGCTTGGTTGCTAGAGAAAAATAAAACCCACGTGGTAGTTAGAATCTAGTTAATTCTTTAAGAGTAGGCTACAAGACTTAACGCTCGCCTGGCATGGCCCTAGGTCCTGTTTATAATTTGAGGTCTTATTGCCACAAAGAGTCTGTTCTGTCAGTCTCATGATCTCTATTTTAACATTAATGCTGTTCAGTTGTGGGGTCTAAACCATAAGAGGGAGGGAGGTACAGGGAGGTATGTCTGACCTCCTGTCCTGTCATGGCCAAGAACTGAATTTTAAGATTTATTTGAGGTTCCGTTGGCCAACAGGGGGTCTGTTAAGTCGGGTGGGGGGCTTAGGATTTTATTTTTAGTTTTCAAGGGAGATAAAATAATTTAATCAATTGGCCCCTGTGACTGTGGGACTAACATGGCTATGATCTGTCGGACAGACTTCAGGCTGGCACCCAGGCAAAATTCTATGCTGTAGTAAATGCATCATGCACATTTGTAACAACACGTACATAACAATGTCACAAAATACTTTCACGGTGACACCTAGATTAGTATTTTATTGAATAGCTGATGATATAAACTGGCTCATTTGATGCCAAGACTGACCATCACCACCATACCAAGGTCATCACTGATCAGAGGCCTAACCCAAGGAGGGGGTCATGTGCAGACCCAGCAGTGGGGAGGAAAGATGCTGCAGAGGAGACGGATGCCCACAGAGGCCCCTGAGCGGACACAATGCTCACTAAGTGGTAAGTATAGACTCAACGTAGGCTGTAAGGTCTCCCCCTGTGCAAATGGGACCCCGTCCACTTGAGAGTCAAGGGTCTGTTTGGGTGGCAGGGATAGCCACTTCTGAAGGTAGAAAGGAAAATAAGCCACCAAATTGGTACCTTTCTGTGAAATGGACATCGTGCTTAGAATCTCCATTTTCCCCACAACCTGGAGGAATAAGTACTGTCATCTGCATTTTGTAGCTGAAGAATCTGACTCAACAAAATTAAATTACTCACCTAAGCAATTAGCAATTAACCAAGTCTTTCTGACTCAGAAACCCAGCTGTTGCCTGTTCATATCCAGCCCCTGTATTGGGGTCAAGATCTGGCCTGTTCTCAATGCAGCAAGATCCAGGCAGATCACACTGGACTCCCAGCACTGAATCTGGCTCGAGGGGACATCAAATTTGACTGGGTCATGGGGCTCAGGAGCATCACTCTCAAAAATAGCAGTACAGGAAGAGGCGATGGCCCTAAACAGCATTTGCAGGCAGATCCCATGTTAATCGTAAGGGTCAGGACTCTCACTTTTCTGTCTCTCTCTCTCTGTCTCTCATCTAGGGCTGACCCCACATTGGACACCACTGCATCCATGTCCATCACACACCACAGCTGCCTTTTCTTCTGCCTGCTTATGGGAAAGTCCCCTCCTCTCCTCCATTTTCTTCTCTTCCTGCCCTATCACACCGTGCACTTCTCCCTTTCCTTAAAGAACCACCATCAACTTTAGGAGGAGGGAAAGGGGTGGCTCTGGCAGGAAAAGCCAGAATCCCCTCTAGCCAGCAGAGAGAGAGGAATGGCTGCCTGTTTTCTCCCCCAATCCAAGGCACTAGGTTTTGGCTAGGTTGCAGGTTCCAAGCTGCTCTCCTGCTGTGTCGGTGAGTTCTGGTCAACCTGCAACCTCCTGATGTGGCCACTGCAGTTCATCGAGTCTTCAGGGACTCCCCATGGCCTGGAGTACTTTGCCTTGCTTACACGGGAGAGGAGAATGGATTTATAGGGAACATCATCTAAATCCAACTTGACCATTGTGTGGCCACACTTGCTAGATTGCTATAGTCTAAATCTAGCATTGTAGAAAGACGGGGGAGCTTGGAGCTGCACAAACCCAGGTCTGGAACTGGCTCCCTACCTTGAAAGGTGAATGATCCTGGCAGGACTCAGCCTCCCTGGGCCTCAGTTTCTTTATCTGTTTCTTGCTGGTTGGTTGGGTGATGTGGGGGCTGTGTGAAAACAGCTTGTCAATACAAGCCGAAATAGGAATATTTCTCCACAGAGTATGAAGGTCAAATGAGAGAATACATTTAAATTAAATGGAAAATTAAAATGGCAAAAAAGGCAAAGTTGTATTGAAAGTTCCAAGCTTCTCTATAAGGAGCTTTTTGACTATGTAAGAATCCGGTACTCGTTCCCCCTAAATATAAAAAAAAAAGTTGAAGGAGGAAGAAGGGAGAGTGATGCATGATGGGCGAGGACTTCACCTGCTGTTGCTGGCTTTGAGGATGGAGGAAGGAGGCCACAAACCTAGAAGCTGGAGCCCCTAGAAGCTAGAAAAGGCAGGGACCCGATTCATCCCTTGAGCCTCCAGAAGGGACATAGCCCCGCCAGCACCTTGACTTTAGCCCAGTGAGATCCTCTTAGGACTTTTGGCAACCAGAACTATAAGACAGAAATGGAAGCCACTGAGTCTGTAGCTGTTTGTTGCAGCAGCAATAGAAAACTAATGCAGAGCCCAAGAAATCACTGGTGATGAGATGGGGAAGTGGGCTCAGGAGGTCTGGATCTGTGATGAGATGGGGAAAGTGGGGGAGGTCTGGATCTGTGATGAGATGGGGAAAGTGGGCTCAGGAGGTCTGGATCTGTGATGAGATGGGGGAAGTGGGCTCAGGAGGTCTGGATCTGAGTTGGGGATCTGGAGTGGAAGGGGAATTCATTTGTTCATTGTCTATCCTTTTGCATTGATTGAGTTTTTATATATATATATATATGTGAATTTTCACAATAAAAGTTTTTTCCAAAATAAAATAAACAAAAGGGGCTTTTTGCAACCCAATTCCTATCTATGTCTGAGTCCACTTGTATTGAATGAGTCTTTCTGCTAACGTCCTTATATTTGGGTGACAATCTGAATGTCAGTGACCAATCAGAGCAGAGGCAGACCTTGGAGTGGGCAGGGCACCCTGAGGGCCCTGATTCCTGCCATGAGGCATAACCCTTTAGGTGCCAGACCACGGGGAGGCCCAGGGGTTGCAGGGGAGGGCTGTGCATCTGCAATGACTCTCAGGGGGCTCCCGGTGGTGGCAATTGGTGAATCTGCACGGTGGTGTTTCAATATTGTCACAACCCTGCTGTCTCTCATGCTCTTAAAAAGCATTTCTCTTACCTGTGACAGACTTCCTATACCTAACAGCTTGCAAAAATGTTCCAGGTTAATGAGAATAATCTCTCGGAGCCATACCTCCCTGCTTGGGGTCTCAGTTTCCCCAACTGTCTCCAGACAAGTTAGGCTAGAAGGCCCCTGAGCCTCAGCCCCTCTATACCCCTCCTGTCACCCAGACCTGATCTGGGTCTTGCACCCTGGGTGCAGCAAGACAGGGGTGGGCAGGGGCTGGCTCTGGGCCAGAGGACCCTTTCTGATGGACTTCAGCTGTTGGCCTTCCAGGGGAGACTGATCAACCTCACAAGAGTCATATGGTGAGTAGCAGTGGGCAGATCCATCCCCCTCGTCTTAGATTTATGGGGAGACAGAGAGAAAGAGGAGACACTCCAGGAAGACCTGCAGGTGGGAGTACCAGGTTGAAACCAAGGACACATTCCTGGAGGAGCTGCCGTTTGAGCCAGCTCTGAGAACAGGTGGGGACAGGACTGGAGAGGAGGAGGGGGTCCCCTATGAGCAAAGACTGGCCACCACCCCATCTAACACCCCCACAGGGCCCCTGTGGCATCCCTGTCCAGTCCCTGTCACCACCCAGTTTTTCCCTCTGGACCCAGGAATTCAAAGTAAGCAAGGAGGTCCACTGCTCCAGTTGACTGCAAATAATTACAACCTTGAGCCCAAGCAGCACTTTGGGTCCTGGTTTGGGACCACGAAGCGGCTCGGTGAGACTGAGAGGTAAGGCCAGGACAGGAATTGGGATAGTAGGATTGAACTCTCCCTGGGGGCCAGCCTCAGAAAGCCTGTGGCCATGGCCTCTTGGCCAACATCAGATCCTGTGGTCTGGCAATGCCTGGGGTACCCAGACCTCACTCTGGACAGGCCCTGGGAGGGGGCCCTGGTGAGATTCCTGGCAGCCTCATAGCCACTCTTCTGTCCGTAGCTACAACATGTCATGCCAGCTGGAGGCTCCATCCCAGTTGGCTGGGAGCACAAAGGCCAGGAAGATAGACATCACCCACCACAGGGGCCAGTCGGGGCCTGAACCAGGGCGGGCAGAGGTTGGCTGCCTTGGGATATGGGTGGGCTCAGGGAGTCAGACAGCAAGGGACTAGCCTCCCATCCTACTGCTGACCAGCTCTGTGACTGGAGAGAGTCACCTTACTTCTCTGGGCCGAGTTTCCCCCTCTGTGGAGTGACACTAAATGCTCTCTCTGGAGACTGGGATCAATAGGGCACTGGTGATTGACCAGGCACTCAGCACATGCCTGGAGCACACAGTGCAGGGCTGTGGTGGGGAGGTGGCCTGAGTTCCTGGGGAGTCACCCATGTGTGCCTGCCCTTCTGACCAGCCACCAGGCCCTCAGGGCAGAGCCTACTACCAGCAGCAGCTCACACCCCGAGACCAGCTCAGAGGCAGCCCCTACCTCAGCAGCAGGGACATCACGGACACTTTGAGCTGCTACTAGGGTGGCTTCCCCAGCTCCCACGTGGAGAGGGGTCCCAGCTGAGTCCCACTCACGTGGAGTCTCATGCCCATGAAAGTGCCATTCACCACTGGTCAGGCTCAGGAGGCCGCATGAGGGGGGGGGGTCACTGGGGAGGAGATATCGGGGTAACAGAGAGGGTGGTTGAATTTTTGTATAATAGGCAGTGCAAGTGTTTACCGTTCAGGAGGGGAAAGGTTTGTTATTATTAGCAATGCTACACTTGAATATTATACTAAAATCCACTTTCTCTATAACCTGGGAGTTGCTCTTTTGTTCTTTCTTTTCCCATCTTAATTAAAATGAGATGCAGACTCTCACGGTCCACAGTCGATTAAGAAATCTTGCATGGCCATCAGGTTATGTCTTGGAGAGCAGAGTTTCAGTACCATCAGCCTGGCAAGGAGCCGGGCCTGCTCCTCAGAGCTCCCAGGACTGTGAGAATTGGCATGTTCACAGGGCACTGTCACAGCCTCTGAAACACGCTGTCTTTAAAGACGTTTGCAGGCTGGACGCGGTGGCTCACTCCTGTAATCCCAGCACTTTGGGAGGCAGAAGCGGGTGGCTCACTTGAGGTCAGGAGTTCGAGACCAACATGGCCAACACGGCAAAACCCCATCTCTACTAAAAATACAAAAAATCAGCCAGGTGTGGTGGCAGGTGCCTGTAATTCCAGCTACTCGGGAGGCTGAGGTAGGAGAACTGCTTGAACCCAGGAGGCGGAGGTTGCAATGAGCAGAGATCACACCACTGCATTCCAGTCTGGGCAACAAGAGCAAAACTTCATCTCAAAAACAAAAACAAAAACAACACAAAGACATTTGCAAGGACCATGTCCTCAACCAGAATGGTGCCTGCCTTTCTACAGTTTTTCAGGAAGAGGAAACATTTTCTGCTTCTCTCGCTGAGGTTTTTTTTTAACCACCCATTAGGAACCTATAGATTTCAGGATGGAACACTGGGATTCCCTCAGCACTAAAGGAGGAAAATTGCAAACAGAGCTGAAAGTGCAATGTGCAAAGGTCAGGCTGAGGAAGGTTCTTAGCCAGTAGACCAAGGGCAGGAAGGACACTGCCTCCTCAGTCTCCCACTTTGTGATTCTTGTCCCCTGACCTCAGAATTCCTTGTCATGTTTGTTTTGTCTCCAAGGGAAGGGTTTGAATTACAGAATTTAAGGCTAGAGTGGGCCTCGTGCAGTTAACATTAACCCTCTCTCTCCTTCGCTGGCCGAGGTGAAGTCCAGGAACATGTAGTTCTGACGTCCACTCTCTCGGGGGATCACCAGTTCACCCATCTCACCCGGCAAGCTTGGCCCTAGTTTGGCGACAGGCATCTTCCACCCACCTGGGAGGCAGGGTTCAATACTCTGCCTCTGACCTTGTTTCCTTCTTCTGCCATCTGCTTAGGCAGCCAGAAGTGGTTGTCCAGCCAGCACCTGGGCTTTGGCCCTCCTCAAGCAGGTGAAGGAAGTTTCAGGCACCTGGCTCCTCAGGTGTCTGCCATTCAGGTGCTCTTCAGGCCTGCCCAGAAGAGCTCTCTTGATCCAGCTAGAACTGGCCAGAACTGACTCACTCAGGAATGTGCAGACTTTGACATCAGGGGCTGCTTTAATTTGCACAATTTCCAAATACCTCTTTTTTCTTCTTTTTCTGATGAGTCATCTCCCTAGACTTGCATTTTAAAGAGATAGATAGTTATCAGATTCCAGAGAAGACATGGTAGAACATTTATATGTCAAAGACACAGAGCTGAGACTTTAGTTTTAGATACTATAATTTGCCTAAACCAAAAAGGAAGGTGTAGGTAAAGTTCTAGTCAAGACAGGATGGCCAGGAAAAACACCTTAAACCAAGGGACAGCTTGCTTTGCTGATTTAAGCCAATGGCTTCTTTATCATAAGACTTCCCAGTGATTTAGTCCTCCCTCTCTTCCAGTGCACAGAGACATACCCCTCCTTACAAATAAAAATGTTCTTTATAGATGTAAATTTATTTTACAAAAATGTTTCAAAATAACCAGATGAAAATCATCCTTATGCCAGAAAGACTTGTTTTTTTTTTCATTACTAGAAATGAAACAGTAAGTATTTGTTGTATTGACATACTTAGGCTTAGACCTATGTTTAACAAGAAAGCCTAATAATAGCACTGTGGTTAGACTGTAGCCTATTTTTCCAAACCATCATTTTATTATTAAGGAAACGAAGGATCAAATACCTTTCATTCATCTGATATGATCCTTTAAAACACATTCCACTAATAAGTCCCATTTGGAACAGCTGAAAATCTTTTAATAAAACTTTTTAAAGATGAGCTCATGGCTTAGTGTAAATTTCACAAGCTTAATTAGGTCAAATGGAAGGAACTCAGATGAGTGGTTGCCCAATCAGAGCCCATTATTTGTAAGTCATCAGACCCCTCCGTGACCTTAAAACTCCACTCTGACCTAATTATTGCAAACCTATATACAAAAAAGTGAAAGGATTAATTTTCATTCATCAACCTCTCAATCCCAGATTTTCAAAGAAAAAACCTATGTAAGGAATACTTGCCAAAACCAGGCAGGAAAATTAGAGCCTGCATACTTAAGAGTCAAATTTGTTCCACTACAGCCAGGTGGCATACAATTACATCATTTGGTTCTTCATACACTCTAGAACTGACTAGGACAGAGTTTAGCATAGAAAAACTGTAAGAAATAGGTTCTGAAACATAGAAATTGCAAAGTTTAAAAGGCTATGAAAAAAACTAATGCAAATGAGAGACTCCCCTCCCTTTGTTTTAAAGAAATAGACCCATCAGAGAAGTGCAAATCAAAACCACAATGAGATACCATCTCACACCAGTTAGAATGGCGATCATTAAAAAGTCAGGAAACAACAGGTGCTGGAGAGGATGTGGAGAAATAGGAACACTTTCACACTGTTGGTGGGACTGTAAACTAGTTCAACCATTGTGGAAGACAGTGTGGCCATTCCTCAGGGACCTAGAACTAGAGATACCATTTGACCCAGCCATCCCACTACTGAGTATATACCCAAAGGATTATAAATCGTGCTGCTATAAAGACACATGCACACGTATGTTTATTGCAGCACTATTCACAATAGCAAAGACTTGGAACCAACCCAAATGTCCAATAATGATAGACTGGATGAAGAACATGTGGCACATATACACCATGGAATACTAGGCATCCATTAAAAAATGATGAGTTCATGTCCTTTGTAGGTGCACGGATGAAGCTGGAAACCATCATTCTCAGCAAACTATCGCAAGGACAAAAAACCAAACACCACATGTTCTCACTCATAGGTGGGAATTGAACAATGAGAACACTTGGACACAGGAAGGGGAACATCACACACCAGGGCCTGTTGTGGGGTGGGGGGAGGGGGGAGGGATAGCATTAGGAGATATGCCTAATATAAATGATGAGTTAATGGGTGCAGCACACCAACATGGCACATGGATACATATGCAACAAACCTGCACACTGTGCACGTGTATCCTAGAATTTAAAGCATAATAAATAAATATAAAAAAATAAAAAAAGAAATAGATGTTCTGTAAAAATATACACAATTTTTACAGACAAATACATTTATAAGTTGTTTTTATCTTAAAAATCGGGGATATTTCATATTTATAACTAATTATTGAACCTTAAGTTTTCTTGGCCATTTCTAGGCTAATAAACTACGAATCATGTAAACTAAGCCAAAGTAGAATAGACATAAAAGTCCTGAACACTTCAACTTCCTATCCTTCAAGAAGTATATCTCGCAAAGCTCATTTGAGAGAGGAAAAGCTTTCCTCCACCCTCTGTTTTACAGCGCTGAGGCTTCTCATCACATTTCTATGACTTGTAGCTTAAATCCATGTTACATGGTAACTGGCATTGTTAGTGCTTCTCTTTTAACACAGTAGGAATTAATCAATTTGGTGGTGTATTTAATTAATTCTATCACTAGAGGATTGTAAAATTACATATATGAATACCTCACTTTAGAGGCCACTTAATTTTTTTCCAAGGGGATATTTGACTACATTTCACTTGTGTCTTATTTAATGATTTTATAATTTAAACCCTAAATTATAAATCTAGAATTTAGAAAGTATATTTCCCCACTGGATTACATTTTTGGAAATATTATTTTATATGTGCACAAATATTACAAAATCACTGTAGACACCTGAAAACTATATTATCTTTTAAAGGCAATATTTACATTAAACTGGTATAACAAAATTGTTTGGTGCATTTTTTTCCAGTACATTTTGTATATATTACATGTTTAACCTTTTTTTATTCAGCAAATAATTTTTGAGTATCTACTAAGTGCTAGGTTCTGCACTACTAACTGAATTTAAAGAGTGAAATAACAGACATGGTCTCAGACAATAAAAATTAACATTAGGTCACCTATTTATATATTTTAAAATGGTAATTATGAAAACTTTTTGAGATTTTTAACTAGATAACATTATAATAATACACTTGATGTTGTTAATATTTGCCAGTGAGCAAAAAAGAAAATAAAAAGATGGTTTTATTCAATATACACTTTAAAATTGCAGAAAATAGTCAAGTTTCTCTGCTTTGCGGTTGAATGTCTATGTGTTTTTCTCCGCAACTTGCCTTTTGTGGAGTGAAACAATTATTCTTCCAGCCCAATAAAGGCAGAAGAGTAACAATAAATCTAATATTTTAAGTGCTTCTCAAAAGATAGTAAACATATTATTTCAGAATACTGAGTTCAATAAGTTGACCTACAAAAAAAGCCAAACTGACAGTATTACTGAATAAGGAAAGGCCCAAAGAGACAAAATACTTTTTATTTTGTAACCTCGGTATGACACAACTTACCCTAACTATAAAGACCCTAAATTACCAAGATAGGTGCTTATAATAAGAAGAGTAAAAAAAGTCATTTGACTTTTAGCTTTTTTATTTCTCTCAGAATAAAAAGTGTCTAAGGAGTTTATAAAGAAGTTGATACTATAAGTTAGTACTACAATGACAGCACTTTTCAAGAAAAGACTTTTTTCTCTCTTACAAATATCACGTTAGCAGTATTTGTTTTCTCCAGAAATAATGAGGAAATAAAAACATAAGTATGTGGGTAATTAGTGTAGTTTCTTAAAGAAATGAGTTAGGCAACAGGCTAATAATGTATACTTCACTGGCTTTTGAATGCCAACAATCATATTCTTTATAAAGCACAGAGAAGATTTTTCTGAAGAATAAGTATGTGAACCTGAAAAGTAATCACCACTTGGTAGTGACAATATGGATAGGGTGAAGGGCGTCATCAAGAAGCAATGAAAAGTTACATTTGCAGTTCAATTTGAAAACCATGATGTTTAATACATATAGTAATAAAGAATACTTTCTCCTATTTCAAAATTATTTTAGAATTTAAGATAGAAGCTAAAATACCTAGGGATAATGATATGACTATCAAAAATTAAAAATTAAAGGACATTTTGAGTATTAAAAGAATGAGAACTTATTACCCAATGAACAGGGGTTAATTCATTATGCTCCATATCCATTGAATTAAAAGACAGGCCCATTACCTGGATAATTTGAAAGTTTAATTTTATTTAAAAGTCTTGTTTCATTCATCAAGCTAAAGGATTAGCTCCCAGAAATATTCTAGAATTGCATATCCCCAACTCTGTAGGAAGTATAGAAAGAATGTTATAAGGGCCACCATCTAAACATTATTATGTAAATAATTTAGTACCATTCCATTTGCCTTTGTAGATTTAAAACTGTAAATGGCTTTCTCATATTAGGAAACATCACTTTTCAAAACCCAGATAAACATAGTACATTGCAAGAGAATAATTATTTTCTTTATTAAAAAAGAAATACTGGATGCTAAGTCCAAAAGACATAAATTATTTTATACTAATAACTACTAATATTTTATTCATTAAAATATAAAGGTCAAAGATTTCAAAATGATCTTTAAATGATTAATAACATGTTGATCTTTTTCTTCTTTCTGTAAACCTTTTTGAGTCTTAAAAATACTAAACTATACAAGCAATATTAAATAGTATATAAACTTGGATTAAAATATTCAAATTTACTAGAATGTGGACATTGGAAAGAATGAAAATAAACAGAAGCATAAAGCAGCAGATATAAAATTAAGAAAGCAACTAAGAGTGTTTAAAGTACATATTCATCTGTAGTCTACCATAAACAATGACTCTTCTCAGTAAAACACAAATTGTTCATGAAGGGAAAAAGCATGTTGTATTAGAGAATATTCAACATAATTTTTTTAGTACTAACTTGTGCCTGGAGTATTATTGGTTTTTCTATTATGAACTTATGCACTTGTTAATTTTTTTCATAAAAATTATATGTACAACTCCATTCAAAAGCAGTTTTTGGTGGGTTTTTTTTTTTTTTGAGACAGAGTTTTGCTCTTTTCACCCAGGCTGGAGGGCAATGGTGCGAATTTGGCTCACAGCAACCTAGCAACTTTTGCCTCCCAGGTTCAGGTGATTCTCTTGCCTCAGCCTCTCGAGTGGTTAGGACTACAAGCACGCACCACCATGCCTGGCTAATTTTGTGTTTTTAGTAGAGACATGGTTTTGCCATGTTGACCAGGCTGGTCTTGAACTCCTGACCTGAGGTAATCCACCCATCTTGGCCTCCCAAAGTGCTGGGTATGGGCAAGAGCCACCATACCTGGCCTCAGAAGCAGTTTTTAAAAGCAAACACAATATAACGCCAAAGTTGAAAAATCTATGCTCACCCAAGGATGCCAGGTTTAATAAATTATTTATAGAATACTGCATCAAAAATAAGACAATAACCCAAAATATACCATTAAAGATGTATCCACTCCTACAACTGGAGATAATTAATCTATCTAGTAGCAAATGATACTTCAATCAGTTTCAGCATGTCTGAAATCTTTAAGGACAAAAGTGATAAAACATGACTTCATTCTTCATTAGACTCTTAGAACACTTGAAGGAAAATAATTTCTGAAGCACAAAGAAGTAAAGAGGTGTAATCTTTCAAAAAGATATTCAGTGTTCAAAATCCAAGAGTGCAATATCAGGCTGGGTGCGGTGGCTTATGCCTGTAATCCCAGCACTTTGGGAGGCCATGGTGGGTGGATCACCTGAGGTCAGGAGTTCGAGACCAGCCTGGACAACAAGGTGAAACTCTTGACTGTACTAAAAATACAAAAATTAGCCAGGCATCGTGGTATGCACCTGTAGTCCTAGCTACTTGGGAGGCTGAGACAGGAGAATCGCTTGAACCTGGGAGGTGGAGGTTGCAGTGAACCGAGATCATGCCACCTCACTCCAGCATCAGTAACAGAATGAGATTCCATCTCAAAAAAAGAAAAGAGTGTAATATCGGTATACACAGATAATATACTGAATGAAACAAATAGAATAATTTGAAGAGGTATCTTGATGAACAAGGAGTCATTAGAAAGGTTGTATTCATGTCTTTGAAGGAAATTGCAATGTGAGAAATTAATACTTTGACTACTATACTAAAAGTTTATTGCTAACATGTATTGAGTTATTAACGTGTGTTAGGCAGAGTACCATATAATTTACAAGTGTTATCTCATTTATTGTAGGTAAAATGTAATTTCGAACTCTGGGAGTATTAATGAATTAGATAGAATAAAATTCTATTTAAATGGCCATCAGTAAATCGGTATCTAGGAACAGGGTGATACGGTGCCCAAGTTTTCTATTCTTACTAAATGTTGTGTTTCATTTTCAATGTTTTCTTGGATATTGCTCTTTTTTGGTGATTTTGATTTTTTTTATTTTAGAAAACTAATAAATTGACTCTTCTTGGTACTGACTCGGGTTTTATAGAAGAAAAAGTAATTAAATTATGTATATTTACCTTTACCTCATTTTTTCTCTTTTAAATTTACTTTAATTGACATATAATAAATGTACATGTTATGGGGTACAGAGTGATATTTTGATATATTTATGCAATACGTAAAGATCAAGTCAGAGTCATTATCATATCCATTACCTAAATCATGTATTATTTCTTTGCAGTGAGAATATTCAAAATCTTTTATTTTAGTTATTTGAAAACACACAATAAATTCCCGTTAACTACAGTCACCCAACAGTGCTGTAGAGAACTAGAACTTCTTCCTTCTCTCCAGCTGTAATTTTGTATGTATTAACCACATTTTTCTTATACTCTTCTTTCTCCTACTCTTTCCAGCATATGGTAACCAAAACTCTACTATCTACTTCTACGAGATTAAAAATTTTAGCTTCCATACATAAGTGAGAACACGTAGTTATGTGGTGTCTATGTTTCTATGCCAGGCTTATTTCACCTAACATAATGCCCTCCACTTGCATTCTTGTTGCCACAAATAACAGGATTTTGTTCTTTATTATGACTAAATAGTATTCCATTATATATGTATGTCACATTTCTTTATCCATTCATCTGTTGATGGACACTTTTGTTGATTCCATATCTTGGCTATTGTGAATAGTGCTGTAATAAACATGGGGGTGCAGGTAAGTCTTTGATATACTGGTTTTCTTTCCTTTGGATATATACTGAAAACCATATGATTAAATTAATAAACACAATAAAAGCGTTTGGCAAAATTAAATATTCTTACATGACAAAAAACGTCTCAACAATTTAGTATAGAAAATATATGCCTTAAAACAGAAGGACATAAAGGACAAATCTGCAACTAAGATCATACTGAGTGTGGAAAAGGTGAAAGATTTTACTGTGAACAAGAAAAAGATTTTACTGGAACAAGAAAAGGATGCCTATTCTCACCAATCATATTTCACATAGTGAAAGTCTTAGCCAGGACAATTAGGTGAGAGAAAGAAATAAAGGACATCTGAATTGGAAAGGAGACAGTCAAATTGTCCCTGTTTAAAGACAATGTGATCTTATACACGGAAAAAAATAAGACTCTACCAAAAGCTTCTTAGGGTGATACATGAAATTAATAAAGTTGCAGGATATAAATCAACATACAAAAATCAGTAGCATTTCTATATATTGATAATAAACTAGCTGAAACAAGAAATTAAGAAAGCAATTCCTTTTACAATAGCTACAAAAATGTACTTAGAAATAAATTTAACCAAGGAAGTAAAAGATTTCGACAACAAAAATGACAAATATTAATGAAAGAAATTAAAGAAAACACAAAAAAGGAAAGACATCCACGTTTATAGATTGAAATAACTAATATTCTTAAAATGACCCACTATCCTATGTGATTTACAAATTTGGTACAATCACTAGCTTGTATTTTTAAAAGCACCTTTGTTGCATATTCTTAAGATATTCAATGACAATGCCCGGATTTAAGTTTGAGGTATTATTATATCTATTTTATACTGGGCACAATATAATGTTATCAGAGGTAACGGTTTTGATTGGTCCTAGGTCATACAGTAATATATACATTGTGATTTATAGACATGCTATCTTTTAATACTCAGGCATTTAGAAAGTTCATTTAGAGAAAGTTATAAAAACTTGCCGTCCTTTCTGCCTATATCACCTAAAAATCCTAATTTAAGAGGTAATAACATTTTTTATTTGATATACAATTTATCAACACAATAAAAATCTAACAATTATCATGTGCAGAGTGTGAAAATCTCATCAGATTAAGGAACACAAAGACATCTTTTTCATATTTCGAATGTAAAACTGTTTTGGAAACTGTTATTTTTAGAAACAGTTAAAAACATTTTTTCATTAGTTTTTCATGTAAAATTGTGACAACCAGCATGAAATAACTGTCATCACAGAAGCATGGTATATTCGATTCCAAAACATATTCTTTGTAAGTTTTAATATATTTATGTATTATTTATACTTAGATTGTAACCCATAATGTACAGATATTATTTTTCCTTCAACTCTTAAGAATATTCTTAAATAATAAAATTAAAATTAATGAATTATAATTTTTGTTGCTTGGGAAAAAGAATAGACACACACGTGACAGTGCATCACTTCACCCCATCATTTCATCTCATCATTTCATCATTTCATCTCATCATTTTATCTCATTTCATCTCATCCCATCTCATCTCATCATTTCATATCATCTCATCATTTCATCTCATCATTTCACCAAATCTCATCTCATCTCATTTCCATTATTTCATTTCATCATTTCATTTCACTATTTCATTTCATTTCATCTAATTTCATTTATTTCATTATGTCATTTCATATAATCTCATTTCATTTCATCTCATATTTTTGATATCATTTTTCATATTTTTCATCTCATTTCATCTCAATTCATCTCATCATTTCATCTCCTCATCTCATCATTTCCTCCTTTCATTACAACATTTCATCTCATTTCTTCTCATCTCATTTCAGTTTCATTATTTCATCTCATTTCATTATTTCACCTAATTTCATTATTTCATCTCATCTCATCTCAGTTCATCTGATCTCATTTCATCTCAGCATTTCATCTCATCATTTTTCATCTCATCATTTAATCTCATTTCATTTCATTTGATCTCATCATTTCAGCTCATTTCATGTCACATCTATTCATTTAATCATTTCATTTCAACATTTCATCATTTCATCTCATCATTTCATCTCATCTTTCAATTTCATTTCAATATCATTTCATCATTTCTTTTCATTTCATCTCATTTCATTATTTCATTATTTCATTTCAATTCATCTCATCATTTCATCTCATCATTTTTCATCTCATCTTTTTTCATCTCATCATCTCATCTCATCATTTCATCTCATTTCTTCTCATCATTTCATCTCATCATTTTATCTCATTTCATCTCATCTCATTTCATTATTTCATTTCATTTCACTTCATTTCATTTCATCTCATTATCTCATCTCATTTCATCTCATCATTTCTTCTCGTCTCATCTCATCATTTCATCATTTCATCTCGTTTCATCTCATTTCATCTCATCTCACCTCATATCATCATTTCATCTCATCCTTTCATTTCATCTCATTGTTTCATCTCATTTCATCTCATCTCACCTCAGCATTTCATCATTTCACCTCATCATTTCTTATTTCATCTCATTTTATCTCATTTCATCTCATATCTCAATTCAATTTCCTTTCATTATTTCATCTCATTCATTTCATCTCATTTCGTTACATCTCATCATTTCCTCTCATCATTACATCTCATCTCATCTCATCATTTCATCTCATCATTGCATCTCATCATTTCATCTCATTTCATCTCATCATTCATCTCGTCATTTCATCTCATCTCATCATTTCCATTTCATTATTTCATTTCATCATTTAATTTCATCATCTCATTTAATTTCACCTTATTTCATTATTTCATTTTTTCATTTCATTATGTCATTTCATTTCATCTCATTACATTTCGTCTAATTTCATTTCATCTCATTTCATCTCATCATTTCATTTCATCTCATCTTTTCATCTCATCATTTTGTCTTATCATCTCATCAACTCTTTTCATCTTATCATTTCATCATTTAATCTCATCACTTCATGATTTCATCTCATTACTTCATTTCATCTCATATCTTCTCATCTCATTTCAATTTCATTTCATTATTTCATTTCATTATTTCATGTCATCTCATCTCATCATTTCATCTCATCACATCTCATCATTTTATCATTTTATTTCATCATCTCATCATTTCATCTCATCTCATTTCAATTTATTTATTTCAATTTCATTTCATTATTTCATTTCATTTCATCTCATCAGTTCATCTCATCATTTCATCTCATCATCTCATCTCATCATTTCATCTCATCATTCATCTCATCATTTCATATCATTTTATCTCATCATTTCATCTCATTTCATCATTACATTTCATCTCATTTTATGTCATCATTTCATGTCATCATTTCATCACATCTCATCTCATCATTTCATCATTTCATCTCATTTCAACTCATTGCATCTCATCTCATTTCCATTTCATTATTCCATTTCATCATTTCATTTCATTATGTCATTTCATCTCATCATATTTCATCTCATTTCATCTCATCTCATTTCATTTCATCTCATCATTTCATCTCATTTTATCTCATCTCATTTCATCTCATCATTTCTTCTCATCTCATCATTTCCATTTTCATTATTTCATCATTTCATTATTTCATTTCATTATTTCATTTCATTTCATCTCATTACATTTCATCTCATTTCATCCATCATTTCATTTCATTTCATCATTTCATCTCATGATTTCATCTCATCTCATCATCTCATTTCATCTCATTATTTCATCTCATTTCATCTCATCTCATCATTTCATTTCATCATTACATCTCATCATTTCAACTCATCTCATTTCAATTTCATTTCAATTTCATTACATTTCATAATTTGCTTTCATTATTTCATTTCATTTCATCTCATTTCATTATTTCATTTCATTATTTCATCTCATTTTTCATCTCATCATTTTTCATCTCATTTCATCTCATCATGTCATCTCATCGTTCATCTCATTTCATCTCATTTTATCTCATTATTTCATCTCATCTCATCTCATTTCAATTTCATTATTTCATATCATTTCATTATTTCATTTCATTTCATCTCATCATTTCATCTCGTTTCATCTCATCATTTCATCATCTCATCATTTCATCTCATTTCATCTCATCTCCTTTCAATTTCTTTTCAACTTTGTCATTTTGTCTCATCATTTCATCTCATCATTTCTACTCACCATTTCATCTCAAAATTTCATCTCATCATCTCATCTTATCATTTTGTCATTTCATCTCATCATTTCATCTCATCTCAAGTCATCTTATCATTTCATCTAAGTGAAATGACATAATGGAATCATGAAATGAAATGGATAGGATGCCCTCAGTGATGTTAAATTTAAAAATTGTTTCTTTTCATGAATGCATTTTTATATTTATATGTATTTATATTTATATTTACTAATATTTCTTTTTACTTATTTTTATTTATATTTTTACTTATTTCTTTATTCATAGACAAGGTCCTGTTCTGTGGCCTAGGCTGGAATGCGGTGGTGCATTCACAGTTCACTGCAGCCTCGAGAAAATCTCCCACATTAGCCTCCCAGGTAGCTGGGACCCCAGGTGCGCACCACCACACCTGGTTAATATTTTATTGTTTGTAGAGATGGAGTCTTGCTATTCTGCCCAGGCTGGTCTCAAACTCCTGGGCTCAAGCAATCCTCCTGCATTGGCAACCCAAAATGCTGGGATGACAGATATGAGCCACAGTGCCCAACCTATTTATTTATTTATTTATTTATTTATTTATTTAATAAGGACAAGATCTCACTATGTTGCCCAGGCTGGTCAACTCCTGGACTCAAATGATTCTCCAAACTTGGCCTCTCAAAATGTTGGGATTACAGGTATGAGCCACCATGCCTGGCCTAAAAATAGTATTATATTTTTGTATCATATAATTTTCAATTAGGTAATATGAATATTCTGTACAGGAAATACACCCTTAATTACATAGGAATAAACATTTGTTACACTGAGAAAAATCTAATAGAGCTAAAAATAAAAATTAATTTGGAAAGGTCATTAGATACTGATACATTCTTACGTTTATACATTCTTTCATATATTCATATATTCTTTTAACAGTATCAATGGTTTGGAGTTATGTGTACAAAACCATGACCTATATGTAATACAACTAATAACAGGCATTTACAATTCAAGGTATATTTTATACAAAGCTTTAACTTCTTATCAAAATATTTTGTTTTATTTCTTTCTGTTTTGGCAGATACTATGAACACAACATTCAACTCACAGACACCATGGAGCCCTTACTAAGCATAAAGTACTGTGAAAGGCCAGGGCTAGGACAGAACTAAGACAGGGCCAGGGATAGGACAGAACAGGGGCAGGGTCATGGCCAGAGAAAAACCAGGGGCAGGGTCACGGCCAGGGACATGAGAGGACCAAGGCCAGGGCCAGAAGCAGGGCAGAACCAGGGCCAGGGCAGGGACATGGCAGGGCCAGGGCCATGGCAGGATCAGGGTCAGCAGAAGGCAAGGGCAGGGCTAGGGTAGCACAGGGCCAAGGCAGGGCAGGGTCAGTGTAGAGCAAGGAACGGGCCAGGGTATGGCAGGGCAGGGACAGGGAGGTCCAGGGCCAGAGTCAGGTCCAGGACATGGACAGGACAGGGCCAGAAATATGGCAGGACCAGAAAGGGGACAGGGCAAGGGCAAGGCCAGAGAAGGACCATGGAAAAAACACGGCCAGGGAGGGTCCAGGGCAAGGGCAAGGCCAGGGCAGAAGCAGAGCCAGAGCAGGCCAAAGGCAGGGCCAGGGCAGGGCAAGGCCAGGGTAGGGTGGGGCCAGTGTAGGGTGAGGGTAGGGCCAGGGTGAGTTCAGGGCCAGGGCAGGACTAAGATAGCACAGGGCCAAGGCAGGGCCAGGGCAGGGCCAAAAGGAGGGGCCAGGGCCAAGCATGGCCAGTGTCAGACCTGGGGATTGTCAGGGCCAGGGTCAGGGTCAAGTCTGGGCCAGGGACAGGGCCAGAGCAAGGGCAGGGCCAGGGAGAAAGCAGAACCAGAGAGGATCCAGAGCAAGGCCAGGGTCAGGGCAGAACCAGGACCAGGATAAGGCAAAGCCAAGGCCAGGGCAGGGCAAGGCCAGGGCAAGGCAAGACCAGGGAAGGGCAAGGCCAGGGTAGAAAAGGCCAGTGTAGGGCCAGGTCAGGGTAGGAGAAGGCCATGGTAGGGCCAAGGCCAAGGCAGGGCAGGGCTAGGGTAGCACAGGGCATGGCCAAAAACAGGGCAGGGCCATAACAGTGGCAGGACTAACAACAGGGCCAGGGCAAGTGCTGGACCAGAGCATGGTGGGGACAATACAGGGCCAGGACAGACGATGGCAAGGCAGGTCCAGGGCCATTTCATGGACTCGGTAGGCCTGGGGTCAGGCCAGGGCAGGGCAAAGGCAAGACGAGGGAGAAGGCAGGGCCGGGCCAAGGCAGTGCCAGGGCAGGGCAGGACCAGTGCAGGGCCAACGCAGGGTGAGGGCAAGGCCAGGGCATGGAAGGGCAGGGAAGGACCAAGGAAGGGCCAGGAGAGGGCCACGGCAGGGTCACGCCCAGAAGGAAGGGTATGGCTGGGGTCAGGAATATGGTAGGACGAGGGCTGGGCCCAGGCTGGGACACGCGGGGCAGAGCATGGACTGTGCAAGGCACGGCCAGAGCCAGGCCATAGAGATGGGAAGGCAACACCAAGGCAGAGTCAGGGTAGATCCAGGGCTGAGCAGAGTCAGGGCAGGTCCAGAGTAGAGGCAGAGCTAGGGCCCAAGCAGGGCCATGGTAGCACCAGGGCAGAGGAGGGCAGGGCAATGCAGGACTGGGCCATGGCAGTGCCTGGTCAACTCCGGGGCAGGGCCAGAAGCAGGACAGGGCCAGGGCCAGTGCTCAGGCCAGGGACAGGGCATGACAGGAAGTGCCAGAGCAGGGCTGGGCCAACGTTGGGGCAGGGCAAATCAGACCAGGACACTTCCAAGTCCAGCTCTGGCCCTGCCTTGGCCCTGGCCCCTTCCTGGCCTGACCTTGTCCCTGGCCCTGCCCTATCCATGCCCTGTGTGTTTGACCAGTGTTTTATAACCAGAATCCTACAAGAAACTTAAATTAGTTCTTTTTGTGCATTTTTAGTAGGGATGGGGTTTCACAATGTTGCCCAGGCTGGTTCCAAACTCCTGAGCTCAAGCCATCTGCCTGCCTTGGCCTCCCAAAGTGCTGGGATTACAGGAGTAATCTGGCCAAGTATTTAACTTCTTTATGCCTGTTTCCTACATTTGGAAAATGGGGATGCTTTAAGTACCTAGCACATAGAATTATTGTGAGAATCAATGCCTCACATATTAACATATTGATAAAATTATACTCATAGAACACTACTGGAAGCAAAGATAGTATTAGTTAAAATTTAGTGATTACTGCAAATATTATTACTATTACAAACAATATAGTATAGACATTACTACTACTATAGTTATCTTAAAAATCTAAAATAAAAATTTTACGTAATAGCCCATTGTAATCTCTCCTGCTCTGCCCTGGCTCAGCCCTAGTGCCGGCTCTGCCCCTAGTCCTACTACATCCCTGGCCCTGACCCTTCCCTGGTCCAGCCGCTGCCCTGGCCCTTCCCATCTTCAGGTCTTACCATGGCCCTACCCTGGTCCTGACCCTGCCCTGGTCTGGTCCTGACCCTGGCCCTACCCCAGAAAAGGGGTATGGCAGAGCCAGGGAAGGGCCAGGGCAAATAAGGGACAGGACACACCCAAATCCAGGAAAGGGCCAGGGCCATGACAGAGCCAGGGCGAGTCCTTGGCAGGGCCAGGTTCCAGGCCAGGGCCAGGAAAGGGTCATGGCAGGGTCACTGTATGGCCAAGGTCCAGGCCAAAGCCAAGGCAGTGGCAGGGTCAGGTCTGCATAAGGGCAGGACCAGAGCCAGTGATACGGCAGGGCCAGGGCCAGGGCCAGGGCTGTGCCAGGACAGAACAAGAGCAGAGCAGGGCAGGACCAGAGCCAGGCCATAGAGAGAGTAGGGCAAATGCCAAGGCAAGGCCAGGGTAGTGCCAGGGCTGAGGCAAGGTCAGGGAAGGTCCAGGGCTCAGTCAAGGCTAGAACCAAGACAGGGGCAGATCTAGGGCACAAGCAGAGCAGGCTAGGGCAGGGCAATGGCAAGACCAGGCCACGGCAGGGCCAGCCCAGGATAGAACAGGGCACAGGCAGGGCAGGGACAGGGCCACAGCTGGGGCAGGACAAGGACCAGGACTGGGGGCCAGGCCAGGGCAAGGGTATGGCCAGGGCAGAGGTAGGGCCAGAGCCAGGGTCTGGGCAGGACCAAGGCAGGTCTATTGCAGGGCCAGGGTTCAGACCAGGGCCAGAGCAGGGCTGGGACAGGGCCAGGGCCAGAACCAGGAAACGGCAATGTCAGGACAAGGGCCATGGCAGGACCAGCAATGGGGCTGGGGCCAGGACAGGGACAGGGACAGGGTCAGGGCTAGGGCCAGAATAGCATGCCAGGGTAGAGCCAGGCCAAATCAGGGACAGGACAGCATCAGGACCAGGGCTGGGCCAGGGTATGGCCTTAAGTAGCGAAGGGCCAGGGCCAGGGTCCATGCCAGTGCCAGCGCCGGTCCAGGGCAGAGGCAGGGCCATGGCCAGATCTAGGACAAGGCTGGGGCAGGGCCAAGGTCTGGGTCAGGGTCAGCAGAAGGCCAGGACAGAGCCAGGGGAGGGACAGGGCCATGGTAAGACCAGGTTACATCAGGGACAAGACACCTGCAAATCCACTTCAGGGCCAGGGTCAGGGCAGGGCCAGTTCAGGGCCAGGGCCAAGACAGGGCCAGGGTCAGGGCTGCCAGGGTCATTGGCAGGGCCAGGGCCATGGCAGGACCGGGGTCAGGAGCAGGGGTCAATGCCAGGCCAAGGCCACACATAGGACCAGGTCTGTGCTAGGGTCAGTGTGAGGGCCAAGGCAGGGTCAGGACAGGGCCAAAGGGAGGGCAGGGCCAGGGCAGGGTGGAGCAGGCCCAGGGTAGCACAGGGTTAAGGTAGGGCACGACCAACCAGGGCAGGTCTATGGTTGGGGCCGGGGCAGGGCCAGAGCCAGGGCACAGCCAAGACAGTGGCAGCTCCTGGGCAGGGCCAGGGTTAGGACCACGGACATGTCCAAAGCCAGTGTCAGGGCAAGAGCAAGGGCAGGGGCAGGGCCAGGTTCATCTAAGAACCAGGGACAAAGCCAGGCCCAGAGCTGGGCCAGGACAGGTACCTGGCAGGGCTAGGGTCTGAGACAGGGCCACGGCAGGACCAGGACCACAACCAGGTCTGTGCTATGGCCAGGTCCAACACAGTGCCCAGGTAAGGCTAGGGTGAAGGCCAAGGTAGGGCCAGGGCAGGGTCAAAGCCAGGCTAGGGCCAAGGCAGGGCCAGGGCCGGCGAGGCAGGGCCAGGAAAGCATACGGCCAGGGCAGGGCGGGGCCAGGACAGTGCCAAGACCTGGGCAGAGCCAGGGCCAGGGCCATGGCCACGGCCTGGGGAGGACCAGGTTCGGGGCAGGAGCAAAACAATGGCAAGGACAGTGCAAGTTCTTGGCACAGCCAGGGTCCAGGACAGTGTCAGGGCAGGGCCAAGGCAGGGTCTGGGCCATGGTGAGACCAGCAACAGGGCTGGGGCTAGGCCAGTGACAGGACCAGAGTCAGGGCAAGGGCCAGAGCAGTGCAAGGCCAGGGTAGGGCCAGGCATTTCAGGGTCAGGGCCAGGAGAGAACCAGGGCAAGGTCTCAAGCAGGGAAGGGCCAGGGCCAGGACAGGTCCAGGGCAGGGCCATGACAGGGCCAGGGGCTGTGTTAGGGCAAGGGCAGGGCCACAGCAAGGTAAGGGTCAGGGCCAAGGCCAGGGTAGGGACAGGGCAAGAAATATGGCATGACCAGGGGCAATGCCAAGGCCAAGGCTGGGCCAGGGCTGAGCCAGGACTGAGTCAGGGCAGGGCAGGGCAGGGCATGGTATGGCCAGTGCAGGACAGGACAAGAGCCGGTCCACAGAGAGAGCAGGGCTGATGCCAAGAAAGAGCCAGGCTAGTGCCGAGGCTGAGGCAGTGTCAGAGCATGTCCAGGGCAGGGCCGGGGCCAGGGCCAGAACCGAGCCAGGGCACAGCCAAGGCAGGGTAGGGAAGGGAAATAGCACGGCCGGGTCAGTACTGGGACAGGACAGAGCAGGGCAAGGAGATGGTAGCGGCAGGGCAGGGACAGGCCAATGCAGAGCCATGTTATGCCGGGGCCAGGACACCTCCAAGTCCACTTCAGGGCCAGGGCTATGGCAGGACAAAGACCACGGCCAGGATCAGGGCCAGGTCTGTGCTAGGGCCAGCTCCAGAGCAGGGTCTAGCGAAGACTAGGGTGAGGGCCAAGGTAAGGCCAGGGCAGGGTCAAAGGCAGAGTAGGGCCAGGGCAGGGTGATGACACATCCAGAGCGCAGCAGGGCAGGGTGATGGCAAGACCAGGGGCAGACCATTGCCAGCTCAGGGCCAGGGAAAGTCCAGTGCAGAGCCAGGAAAGGGTCTGGGTCTGGGTCAGGGCCAGGAACAAGGCAGAGCAGGGCCAGGGCCATGGCAGAGTCAGGGCAGGTCCTTGACAGGACCAGGTTCCAGGCCAGGGCCTGGATAAGGGCAGGGCCAGGGATATGGCAGGACCAGGGCTAGGGCCAGGGCCAGGCCATAGTGAGGGCAGGGCAAAAGCCAAGGGCAGGGTCAGGGCAGGTCCAGGGCAGGTCCAGGGAGCGGCCAGCACCAAGCGGGGCCAAGTCACAACCAGCGCAGGGTAAGGCAGGGCAATGGCACCACTGCGCCATGACAGGGCAAGGTCAGTGCCAGGAGAGGGCAGAACAGGCAGGCCCATGGTGGAGCCAGGGCAGGGATGGGCCAAAGCAGGGCCAGGACATGTCCAAGGCCAGGTCAGGGCCAGAACAGGAGCAGGACCATGACCATTGGCAGGGCCAGTGCCATGACACGACCAGGGTCAGGACAAGAGGCAGGGCCAGAGCCACGGCCAGAGCCAAGGTCAGGCCAGTGCAGGTTCAGGGCAGGGCCAGTGCCAGGGCAAGACCAGGGCAGGGACAGGGCAGCACAGGGCCAAGACAGGGTCAGGATGGGACCAGAG
This sequence comes from Homo sapiens, assembly GCF_000001405.40. Taxonomy (NCBI): domain Eukaryota; kingdom Metazoa; phylum Chordata; class Mammalia; order Primates; family Hominidae; genus Homo; species Homo sapiens. Next base: position 55,225 of record NT_187648.1, on the reverse strand, counting down.
CAGGACAGGGCCGAGAGTCCAAGTAACAGTAGGGCAGGTACAGGGCAAGGCAGGGCAGTACAGGGCCAGATCCACGGCAGGCGCAGGGCAAAGCCAGGCCCATTGCCAATGCACCAGCCCTCCCTACAAGGCTCCTACCACCTGGCCACTGCTGCAGCCCGTCCATCGCTCTAAGCCTGACCCCCAACCCTGGCTGCAGCCGCCTGCCCTCCTAGCGCAGCCGCTCTCCTACCGCTCTGGTGTACCGCAGTCTCTGTCACTGCCGCCCACCCGCAGTGAGGCGAGCCATGGTGTTGCAGGCTCTAGGTGTCTCCTCCTCCTGGCACAGAGCAGCTGGGCGGGCAAAGCCAGAAAAGCCTAGAGAAAGATGTGAGGGGTGGAAGGGTTAGAGCCTCAACTTGTCATGCCGGCCACTGGGTGGCAGGGGCCAGTTTCAGCAAAGGCACTTACACCCACCCTCCAAAGTCCAGCCTCTCCTTTTGGCCCAAGCTGGGCAGGAACTGGGGTCTGGGGTGGGTGCTGGAGACACCACAGCATCCAGCTCCCCACTCCACAGGAACCATTGGGCCCACTGGGGCTGCACTCCTCAGGGAGCAGGAGAAGCAGAAAAATTCAGACCCAGCCAGCCCTCCACACCCAGGTGCCAATTCCTGTTCCGGACGCCTCCACGCACAGGGCCCTGTCCCCCGTGGTGTCCCCAGGGGTGCCTGGCAGCCTCTGAGGCACAGACCCACAGTACACAGGCCCAGGAACCACGGTGGGTGTGGGGGCTCTGCCATGCTCAGGATTCCCACGCAAATGCTGCGTGCCCTGCTGCACTCCAGTATGACCAAGAGTGGGTCGCCCTCTGGAGTGTGGAGTCAGGGAGAGGAGAACCACTCCTTCCTTGGATGCCAACTCTGTTGACCGACACCAGCAGTGCAGCCCCTGATAGCACCGAACTCGCCCCCGCTCCACGGCTAGTCCTGCCCTCAATAGCGCCCCCCACCTCCGTCCCCCAATGCCGCCAGTAGCGTATAACCGATAGTGCCCTAACCTGTCCTCCTCCATGGGCATTGCAGCCCCAGAGAGCACCCATAACCCACCCTCCCTGCCATGGGCAGTGCAGCCCTGTACAGTGCTACCAACCAGTACCCCTAATGCAGGCAATGACACCCTGGATAGCGCCCTCAACCCACCCCACACTGCGAAAGGTACAGCCCTGGATAGCCCCTGTCCTACCACTCTGGTCGTCCTGTAGTCTCTGTCACCACCACCACCAACCACAGTGAGGCAAGCCAGTGGGCCACAGGCTCTAAGACCCAGCAGCCAGGCATGGAGCAGCTCTCGCTGATGGCCGGCTCCTACCACTCTGACCACGCTGCTGTCTGTCTCCGTGGCCATCTTCTTTCACTACAAAGGAATAAAACTAGGTATCAATAAGAAAAGCAATTTTGGAAACAATACAATCACATGGAAGTTAAACACCACCCTCCTGAATAAATGACTAGTGGGTCAATGAAGATACTAAGACAGAAATTCAAAAATTTCATGAAACAAAGGGTAATGAAAACACAGTATACCAAAACTTGTTATGCAGAAAGCAGTACAAAGGCAGAGATTTACAGCTATAAGTGCCTACCATCCAAACAAAAGAAAACCTTCAAATAAACAATACATCTTAAAGAACTAGTAAAGAACAAACTAAACTGAAAATAAGAAAATAAATAAGATCATAGCACAAACAAAATTGAAATAAAAAACAGACAAGATTAAACGAAAAGTTGGTTTTCTGGAAAGCTAAACAAAATTGACAAACTTTTAACCAGGCTAAGAAAAGAGACAAGATTCAAATAAATAAAATCAACAGATTAAAAAAAGGAGACATTACAACTAATACTTCAGAAATTCAAAGGATCATAACTGGCTACTATATGCCAATAAATTGGAAAGCCTAGTAGAAATTGGCAAATTCCTAGATGCATACAACCTACTTTGGTTAAACAATGAAAACATCCAAGACCAGAACAGATTGGTAACAAGTAATAAGATTGAAGCCATCAGAAAAAGTCTCCCAGTAAAGAAAAGCCCAGGAACTGATGTCTTCACTGCTGATGGCTTCACACCAAACAATTTAAAGACCTAGTACGAATCCTGCTCAAACTATTTTGAAAAACAGGAGGGAATACTTCCAAACTTATTCTATGAGACCATTATTACTGTGATACCAAAATCAGACAAAAGCATCAAAGAAGGAAACTACAGGCCAGGATCTCTAATATGGATGCAAAAATCCTCAACAAAATACCAGTGAATCAAATTCAGTAATACATTAAAAAGATAATTCATCATGATCAAGTGGGATGTATCCCTGGGACCCAAGGGTCACTCAACATACAATGTGATACATCATATCAACCAAATAAACGACAAAAACAGTATCATCACGTCAACTGAAACCGAAAAAGCATTTGATGAAATTCAACATCCCTTCATGCTATAAATCCTCAAAGAAACGGGCACAGAAGAAACATACCGCAACATAATAAAAACTACAGGAAAGACACCCACAGCTAGAATCATATGGAATGGGGAAAAATGGAAAGCTTTTCCTCTAAGATCTGGAACATGATAAGGATGCCCCCTGTCACCACTGTTGTTTAACATAGTACCAGAAATCCTAGCTAAAGCCATCAGTGCAGCCCCTGATATGGCCCCCAACCCACCCTGCCCCCTACCACCAGCAGTGTCACCCCCCCAATAGCACACCCAACATACCCAAACTGCCCTGCCTCCCCACACCATGGGCATTACAGCACCCCATAGCGCCCTCAACCCGAAACTGCCACCCCCCCGACAGCCGCACAGTGCAGCCCCGGATAGCACACTTAGCCCACCTCACTGTTGCCAGCAATACAGTCTGGGATAGTGCCCCCAACCGGCTCCCCACCAAAGGCAGTGCAGCCCCGGTTTGGCCCCCAAACCACCCCCCCCCCCCGCCCGGTGCAGGCAGCACAGCCCCAGATAGCACACCCAACCGGCCACCCAAGACGGGCAGTGACGCCTGAGATAGGGCTCCCAACCCGTCCCAGGCCACCCACAGTGCAGCCTGGATAGCGCACTTACCCCGACGTCTTTCTACGCTCTGGCTGGCTGCAGTGTCCATCGCTGCCACCAACCACAAACAGGGCTGCAAACAGGAAGGATTTTATTCACCGTCCATGCGGCCCCGAGTTGTCCCAAAGCGAGGCAGTGCCCCCAAGGTCTGTGCAGAGCAGAACGCAGCTCCGCCCTCGCGGTGCCACCAGCCCGCCTGCCCGGGTCTCTGCTGAGGAGAACATTGCTCTGCCTTCGCTGTATCTCCGAAGTCTGTGCAGAGGAGAACTCAGCTCCGCCCTCGCAATGCTCTCCGGGTCTGTGCTGAGGAGAACGCAGCTCCGCCCTCGCAAAGGCACACAGCGCTGGCGCCGGCGTGGCGGAGAGGCGGCCAGCGGCGGAGAGGCGGCCAGCGGCGGCGCGGTGGAGAGGCGGACAGCGGCGGAGAGGCGGACAGCGGCAGCGCAGCGGAGAGACGGACAGCGGCGGAGAGGCAGACAGCGGCAGCGCGGCGGAGAGGCGGCCAGCGGCGGAGAGGCGGACAGTAGCGGAGAGGCGGACAGCGGCGGCGCGGCGGAGAGGCGGACAGCGGCGGAGAGGCGGACAGCGGCGGAGAGGCGGACAGCGGCGGAGAGGCGGACAGCGGCAGCGCGGCGGAGAGACGGACAGCGGCGGAGAGGCAGACAGTGGCGGCGAGGCGCGCAGCGGCGGCGCAGGCGCTGAGAGGCGCTGGCGCCGGCTCTGGCTCGGAGAGGCGCAGGCCCAGGCTCCACTCCCCAGCTGTGAAAGGGTAAGAACCGAGGGTGGCTGAGACTCGGGGTTGTTCAGGGCCGGGTGGGCTCTGGACCCAGCAGGCCCGGCACCCAGGTCAGGGCTCCAGGGGAGGCCAGGTGGGCGAAGGCCAAGAAGGGGCTGGGGCTGGTCAGGAAGGGCTCCTGGTGACCAGAGCACTTTGCGTGAGCCAGCGTGGGAGGAAGGTGGGCTGGATGAGCCAGGGAGGCGCCGGGAGGGGCCTTGGCAGAGGCGACCCCCTCCGTCACCCCCAGGCCACTGAACCCTGGGTAGCGAGAACCGACAGGGGAGGCTGCAGACAGAGGAGTGGAGGCTCCCCGGCTTTTGGGGCTCTGAGTAGAAGCATCTAGGGGGTCCCTCAAGAGGCCCCCAGACGCTTCCCCATGGTGAGAAAAGAAGGCGCAGAGAGGGGCACGGCGCCGGCGCAGAGGGGCACACAGCGAGATTTGCTGTGAGTTCTTTTATTGCCCCAAGTGTACCTCATCTTGGTAGATTTCTATTGGCTTTAAAAATGTGTGTGTTTTGCTGTTGGGGAGTGGGGTATTATACGGATGTCAGATTTTGCTGGTTGACTGTTCAGATCTTTTGTAAATCCTTGCTCCTTTTCTGCCTAGTTTCACTCTGTCACTTACACTAGAGTGCGGTGGCACGAACATGACTCACTGCAGCCTTGACTTCCTAGGGTCAAGTACTTCCCCTGGCTTAACTTCCTGAGTAGCTGGTACTATAGGTGTGTGCCGCCACACCTGGCTAAATTTAAAATTTTTTGGAGAGATGAGGCCTTGCTATGTTGCCCAGGCTCGAACTCCTGTCCTCAAGCTATCCTTTGTTTTTGCCTCCCAGAGTTCTGGGATTACAGGCATGAGCCACTGTGCCCGGCCTCTGCCTAGTTTTAACAGTTGCTAAGAGGAGGATGTTGAAGTAGATGTCTTCTTGGTGGGTTAATCCTTTTGTCATTAAGCAGTTGTTATGGTCACTTCCTTTTCACCCCATTGGTGAAGGAGGGGTCCCTGCCCTAAAGTGTAGGAGATGGCTGAACACGACACCTGGCGTGGATGGATGAGATTGACAGCAGTGTTTTAGTCGCATACCCACAGCTCAGAGGAGGACACTGCATGCCACACAGGGTCAGATGGGCACCGCACTCTGTAGCGGAGTGAGGGCTGCGGGCTGAGGAAGCAGGCGGGCTTGGTAGTAACAAGAGCACACAATGACCAATGGTTCCCGAGGGGGAATGCAATTGGCTTGTTTGAATAAATTCATGGGCTTGCAGACAGGTGAAGTGAAACTTCTTAGGCTGAGGTGCAACTGTTCTGGCTGATAAAAGAACTAGCCAGGTGGGGAGCCTTTCCTGTTGGGTGGCAGGGTAGGGGGTGTCTGGTAGAAACAGGAAAACCCACGGCTAGGCCTTTGGGGCCCTGTGAGGCTCAAAGATGTCAAGGCAGCATAGGAAATTTTAGATCTTAAAATTCAGCGAAGACCCTCTCCAGCTCTGGTACATTATTTTGCTTGAAGTCTACTTCATGAGATATTAATATATTCACTCCTGCTTCCTTAAAAAATTAATGATTTCACAGGATATCTTTCTCCATTCTTTTACTTTCAACCTACTTAGGTCCTTAAGTGAGTTTGAAGTTTCTTATGAACAGTATTTAGTTGGGCCATGTGTTTATTATAGGCTCTCCATCAATCTGTCTTTTGGTTTATTTAGACCATTTACATTTAAGGTGCTTATTGTTACATAATTGCTTATGTCTGATGTTTTTATTATTTGCTTTTTTGTTTCCTTTTTCTTTCCCTCCATCTTGATCTATTTCTGTATAATGTTGTTGCGTGTATCTCTTTGTATAGTCTTAAAGTGTTTGCTCTGGATGTTACAATATGTGTATTGTAATATAGTAGTCTACTGGTACCAGTATTTACCACTTCAAAGTGTGGAAACCTGCCTTGCATTTATGTCTCTTTACCTTTTCCACTTGTATAAATCACTGGCTTGAGTATTAGGTGGTGGTATAGTTTTTGTTTCAGTCGTCAAATGTGATTTTAAGAACTGTGGATTGTCTCGCGTATGTATCCACATTTCTCATCTTTCCTTTGTCCCTCCTCCCATAGTCCCATATTCATCCCTTCTGCATAAGAACTTTCTATAGCCATTTTTTTATTTTGATTTTTTTGTTTTAATTTTTTGTATTGTGGAAATGACAGAACATATTTCCGTAGCCATTTTTTAGCATTTCTAAATTGACCAGTGACAAATTCCTATATTCTCTTCCTCTGAGAATGTCTTTATTTCTCTCTTCATTTCTGAAGGGTAGTTTCATGGGATATAGAATTTGCCTTTCATGTATTCAGAGGTTTTCAGTATTCGTATAATCAAACCTGATAGTTTTCCTTTTGGTTTTGAGGTTGTGTCTTGTTTGGGTGAGTCTCCTACCCCTTTGACTACAGAAATGCCCTTTCATTTTAAATATCCTCCTATTATGAAACACATTTCCACATTTTCTAAATTTTTAATTTTTAGCTGAGAAATAAATTAGTAATTATTTAAGTATTAATTACTTTTATCTTGTTATTAATTATTGGTTTTATTTATTTACATGTAGTTGGCTTACATTTAGTTTAGTTTAACTTAATTACTTTAAAGTAATGTATAAATATCTGCAGTTTGTACCTCATGTTCTCACTCATAAGTGGGAGCTGAACAATGAGAACACGTAGACACAGGGAGGGGAACATCACACACCAGGTTCTATCCAGGGGTTGGGGGCAAGGGAAAGGAGAGCATTATGACAAATACCTAATGCATGCAGGGCTTAAAACCTAGATGACAAATTGATAGGTGCAGCAAACCACCATGGCACATGTATACCTATGTAATAAACCTACATGTTCTGCACATGTATCCCAGAACTTAAAGTAAAATTTAAAAAAAAAATAATTAATTAAAAATATATATCTTCAGTTTGTAAACGTCCCGACAACGCAGGAACAGAGTTAAAAGAGTGTGTGTCGTCCTTAGCTGCTCCCACCCCATCGTCTCCTCCCTAGCCAACCCAGCCGCCAGTCTGGCGTGCGCCTTCAAGGTTTCTTCCTAGACACTGGCAAACATAGATCACTATTTTCTGCCACATGGTATCTTTTAAACACACACGATTGTTTTGTGCAGAAACTTTCTATTTTTACCTCTCATAAGTGTCCTGTGGATTCTTTCCATGTCACTGTGGTGTGTGTGCGTGTGTGAGATTCAAGTTCAGCTTGCTAATCTTGTAGAAAGAATTACACTCCACTTCCCTGTGCTCTGGCCCTCCCTAACACAGCAGCCCATCCCTGGAGGCTGATGGAGCCCCTTGAGCACCTGCTTACCATTTCTGTTTGTTCTGTTTATTCAGGTTTTCTGCCTCCTGCTAAGCCAATTTATACATTCCAAGAAAATCTTCCATTTCATCCAGGTGAAACAGAACCTACTGGAATGAAGCTGGCCTCCCATGGAATGAAGCTGGCCTCCCGTCTCCTTGATTTGAAGCAGCTTCTCCACGTTGGTTATTATGCCATTTTTCTAAATCTAACATTTTAAAATTTGTGCCTTTTCTTTCTCTTTTGCTTGACTTCTCAGAGGTTTTTTTAACGGTCTTTTCAAAGAAGTGGTTTTCGGTTTTATTTATCAAGTCTACTTTTATTATGGCTGTTTTAAAATTAAATACATTTATTTCTTGTTTCTCTTAAAAAAGCTTCTTGTATGTTTACTTAGTTTATATAATTTTATATGTCTTCTGTTGAAGCATATTAACAAACACTTCCAGCTATAACATTTCCCCTGAGAACTGCTTTGGACACATCCAGATATTTTGATAGGTCACACACTTATTGTAGTTTGTTTCTGAAAAGTTTTTCATTTTAGTTTTTATTTTCTCTTTTACTCAAATTATCATCAGCTTTCTCCTTTTATCCTGTTTCTGACAAATTAATCTGAGGATATAAATCTCTCCCTAAATGTCAATTTTGTTGAGTTTCATAATTTTAATATGTAATACCCTATTGCTATTGAGTTCCAGGCATTTCATAATTTTCATTGTGAAAACTAACTTTGTTTCCAAAACACACTTTTTCTTCTTTTTTGAGACAGAGTTTCACTCTGTCGCTCAGGCTGGAGTGCAGTAGCACAATCTCATCTCACTGCAACCTCTGCCTCCTAAGTTTAGGTGATTTTGTTGCCTCAGCCTCCCTAGTAGCTGGGTTTACAGGCTCTTGCCACTATGCCTGGCTAATTTTTTGTATTTTTAGTAGAGACAGGGTTTCGTCATGTTGCCCAGGCTGGTCTCGATCTCCTGACCTCGGGTGATCCACCCACTTCAGCCTCTCAAAGTGCTGCGATTACAGGCATGAGCCACCGTGCCCGGCCCCAAAATGCACTTTTAACATGGTCTTTGTTATTGCATGTTTCTAATTTTGTTGCACCCTGGTGAGAGAATGTGATTTGTGTAACAGCAATTCTTGGGAAAGGGGCCGAGGCTTCCTGCTCCTTTAGCACAGCTAAATTTTCCCAAACGCCATCCATGAGCTTGGAAAGAGCATTGTACTCTGTTGGGATGGGCTCAAATCTCTCTGTAAAAATGAGTGTTCTTCTGTTGTTGTTGTTCTGTTTTTTGTTTGTTTTGTTTTGTTTGTTTTTTGTCTCAGTCGTTTTGTTTGCTCAGATCTTTTGATGATCCGGATAATCTTTTAATTTATGCAGGATGTTTCTCTGCTTGTGCAGGCTGGTGGGATTGGGGACTGGAGAGAGGATAAGTGTCTGCTTGCCCAGGACTGGCAAACTGTCACTTGCCCTGGTTGTGCCTTGCCAGGAGCTCCCGTGCCTGTCTCTGAGAGTGTCATGAGCGCAGCGGTGGTAGTTGTGTGGTGGATGCATTTCCCCTAGGTTGGGGGGTGGGTGGCTGGTCCTAGCTCTGTTTGTTGTTGCCGATGAGACACAGCACACTTCTGCTTCCTGATGGATCTTGTCAGTCATTTGACTTCTTCCTGGTCTGGGCTCCTGAGCTGGCCCTCTGCAGGCCAAGCAGGAATGGAGCTGGCTGCTACAAGAGTTCCTTCACTAGAGGGCATCTCTCCTCTCTCCTCCCACACATGGGAACACAAGGGTGGGCTTTCCTCCACCCACTGTGATCCGCAGCCCGGCTTTCCCCTCCTCACCCTCTGCTCTCAGACAGACTTGCTTTTCCCTGGTGTCTGTGAGAGGTGATTCTTCATGGTGCCAAGAATGTGGATTTTTTTGAGAGCAGGCACTCTCACAGATATTTGCACACCCATGTTCAAAGCAGCGTGATTCACAAGAGTCAAAAGGTAGAAGCATTCTGAGGGTCTATGGGTGAGTGGATGGGCAAGCGAAATGTGGTTATGCATACAGTAGACTGTTACTGAATCTTTACCAGGAAGGAGATTCTTTTTTTTCTTTCTTTTTGTGGAAAATGCGGTCTCGCTATATTGCCCAGGCAGGTCTCGAACTCCTGGGTTCAAGCTATCTTCCTACCTCTGCCTCCCTAACAGCTAGGATAATAGGCGTGAGCCTATGATATTACCCAGCCAGGAGGGAAATTCTGAGAGGTGTGCCAACAGGCATGAACCTTGAGGACATTGTGCTAGATGGAATAAGCCAGCCACAAAAGGACAAATACATTGCGATTTCACTTACATGAGGGGCCCATTATGGGCAAATTCAAATACAGAAAGAGCAATGGTTAACAAACGGAGGAAGTTGGTGTTCAATGGGTATGGTTTCCTTTTGCGAAGATGAAGAAGTTCTGGAGATGGACGGTGGTAGGGGATATGCGACAATGTGAGTGCACTTAATGCCAGTTATAACACGGGGAGTGCGTGTGCACACGGCTCTGGGAGTTCTCGTGCAGCACTCAGAGCTCAGCGTGGGCGAGGGCGTCACCCCTCTGGGGGCGTCCATGGGGCCTTGGAGAAGGGAGGCTCCGGGGCACCAGAGCAGTCTACCGGGAGAGGCCGGGCCGAGCGCTTGTTCACCCCCAGCCCTCTTAGGGAACTTTCACATGCTTCTCCCACTAGGCCTAGGCACCCCTCCCCACCCTCCCTACCCTCCCTACCTTCCTGGTTCCCTGACCCTCGGTGACTGTGTCCTTCAAGACTGAACTCCAGAGTCCCCACCCGAGGACCCGCAGTGCCCAGCCCCCGCGAGCTCACGGGGTGTATGCCCACCCCGAGGCTCCACCGCGCCTGTGTGCTGGGAAGCCTGGCTCCATGGGACCCTCGGGCTCTGAGCGCGCCGTCGCTGCAGCTGCCAGCAGCTCCTGAGGAAGTGGCTCGAGGCCCTGGGGTGGGCCAGGCGTGCGGTGGGCCCGCTGCCCTCACACCGGCCCCGGCCGCACACAGGAGGCGCAATCAGCAGAGACGTTGGACAGGGTTGGACACTGGCTGTCTCTTTCGGGCCTCGGTTTTCACGTCTGAAATAAAAGCGAGCATCCTGGCCCTGGTGCTGTGCCTCTGCCGCGGTAGAGGTTTCCACCCCTATGAGCCCAGTGCGCCTTCCAGGCTTGAGGGAGAGGGAGTGTGCGTGCCTGTGAACGCGTCACACTCGTGTGAACGCGTCATACGCTTGTGAAAGACTGTGCGTGTGCACACGCGTGTACATGCATGTGAACGCGTCAGGGTGCCTGAGGATGCACACATGCACCTGTGAGTGTGCGCGAGTGCGTGCTCAGAGGACAGCTCTCAGCAGGCTGGGGACCTCCTTCCTCTCACTCCTGAGGGTTTTGGGGGACCAGCCCCCGTCTCCAGGTGCTGTGGGATGCCCTGGGGCGAGCTCGCACCGCTGTGCTCGGGCTCCGGCTTTGTGGGGACCCGGCCTTCCCGGCCCGCACCACGGGGAGTTCCACGCAGCACCCACGAGGTGGCGCCGCAGACTCGCTACCGCGGAGCGCGGCGGCTCTCGGCTCCCAGCAGCCTTGCCTACAGCTGTGGCCAGGGCGATCCCTCTCAGGCCCAGGCCGCTGCTGCCAGGAAGAGCAGGAAGAACAGCCAGTCACGCCTGGTGATGCCTCTGAAGTGCTTATGCTCCCAGGCATGGGCTGACCGCAACGTACATTCTCTCCTTTTATGCCCCTACTATTTGGAACGCTGTATTTTTTTCATTTTTATTTTTATTTTTTGTTGTAAATCTGCCACTTAAAAATACCCAGGGTGGAGCTAAAAGTACAGACACTGCTCAACTTACCCCTGGCTGCGGCCCGATAAGGCCGCTGCGAGTGGAAAATGACTGAGTCCACCTGACTACCGAATAGCACAGCGTAGGGGGGCCCACCTTGGCCTGCTGAGAACACTGCCCTGAGCCTGCGGTGGGCAGAAGCATCAACACGAAGCCTGTTTTGTAGTCAAGTGTCGGATACCTCATGTAATCATTGACTGCTGTACTGAAAGCGAAAAACTGGCCGTGTGGGACTCACACGAGGGTTTCTGCTGACTGTGGATGGCTTTTGCATCACTATAAAGTTGAAAACTGTTAAGTGGAACTGCGGTAAGTCAGGGCTGTGTGCACTAGAGACCTGAGTTCTGCCGCTCCATAGCTGTGTGACTTTGGACACATATTTGAGCCTGAGTGTCTTCCACACAAAATGGATTTCTTAGCATAACCTACACATGTGTACGTGCCTGTGAGCGTGCACGTGTGTGTTTGCATGAACACATCTGTGTATGCACGAGTGTGTGCACATTTGTATGTGTCTGTGTAAGTCCGTATGTACATTTGTGTGCATGTCTGTGTGTGCATATGTTTGTATGTGTGTGTGCTATGCATGTGTGTGTTAAGGCCCTGGGGTGGAGCTGAGGAGTTGAGGGGAGATGCTGGGAGGGCAGCCAGCACCAGGCGTTTGTTGGCCAGGAGAGAAGCTGCCATCCAGGTGCACTCTGGAGCTCGTGCTTCAGTGGCACAAGGCTTTGGGAGTGAGGAAGCTGGGGGCTGGGGCAGGGCAGTCCTGCACCTCAGGGGAGGTGCAGAGTGAGGCCAGGAGGATGGAAAGAGTGCCAGAGAATGGGGGAAATCTGAGGCATCAGGAAAGGAAGACACAGGCCATGGAGAGGGCAGCTGGGCCCTGGGTGAGGCCGGCCCTCAGGAAGGAGGTGCCATAGGCAGGGGAGTGCCCAGATGGAGAGCCCAGGGGTATGGACCCACGGGTGTATGACAGTGGGGGTACTCCTGAAACAGAGCAGTGTTATCCAACAAGCAGGGTTGGGACAGCTAGTTATTTCATTTAAAAAAACAGGTCAATGTCAGTCCTCATACTGTGGTTTAAAATAAGCTCCAGATGGACTCATGTTTTACATGTAAAGAAAAAAAGGCAAAAAGAAAATAAAGAAAAGGCTTGTAAGCAGGTAGTTAATTGGAGGCAATCCCAGGATGCAGGAGAGAGGGGAAATACTTTTAGACCTAAAATTTGAAAAATATAGTAAAAATGATTCCCATATGTGCCTCTTTCAGCTTGCTCTAATGTCAGCATCATAAATAACCACAGCATAAGTATCATAACCATGAAATGAACATAGATATAATGTTATTTGTTAACTCATTTAAAATACCATATGGATTTCACTGATTTTTCCCGTTGATGACTTTTTTTATGTTACAAGATAAAATTCAGGTTTCTGTATTTTATTTGGTTATCCTGTCCTTAATATCTTTAAATCTGTGATAGTTTTTCACTTTTGTTTCTCTTTCATGGCCTTCAAACATTTGAAGTTTACTGTCCAGGTATGTTGAAGAATGTCCTCCTAGTTGGGTTTGTATATGATGTTTACTACTGATTTAATTCACACCATTAATTTTTGGCAAGAATAATACAGACAGATGTATCCTCAGCGCTTCACATCAGATGTTACATAATGTCAACATGTCTTATAGGTGGTAATAAATGAATATGATCAATGAAATCCCATTTGAAAGGAAGTTTTGGACAAAAATAATGAAAACAACTGCTTCTATCACTCTTTCTACTAGGTCATTGCAGACGTCATTAGGAATAATCTGTTTCTTCCTTATCGAATATGTACTTTATTTTAACAAACTTTAATCTTTTTACAGTCTACTGCATCACAGCGAAAATTGAAGAAATAATTTAGTTCACTTTTAAATGGCAAATGTTTCCATAATAACCATTTGCCACTGAAATGTTGATAGCCTGAAGAAAGAAAAAGAATGGGATTTATTCAGCCATGGTAGTATCTTCACATGAACAGCTTTTACTGAGTCAACTATTTGGATAAATAAATAGAATTTTCTACTACTTAGAATGTTGCAAAATTCAAATGGAGCAGTGTAGCATGCACTGAGCTACCTCTACTGGGAAAGTTAAGAACCACTGAGGCTATATAAGGATTCATACAGTGAGTCACTATTTCTGGAAACCTGGGATTCTGGTGCCTCAGTTGAAAAGAGTCCAAGAATCAAAGTCCAAATTATTCAATGATTTTTTTTTAGAACTGCAAAATGTCCAAATAGAGCAGAGACGCTAAAACTGAGTGGCCACCACATTAGCTGTCTGTAAAGGAAGCAGCTGGTAAAATCTAGTAAACACTGATGGTCTTGTTGAGGTTTTTGTTTCATGTTGAATCACTGTGGGAGGTAAGTTATAATCCTGCTGACAGTAATAAACTGCAAAATCTTCAGGCTGCAGGCTGCTGATGGTGAGAGTGAAGTCTGTCCCAGACCCACTGCCACTGAACCTGGCTGGGATGCCAGTGGCCCTGGTGGATGCACCATAGATGAGGAGCCTGGGAGCCTGCCCAGGTTTCTGCTGGTACCAGGATAAGTAGCTGCTGCTAACACTCTGACTGGCCCTGCAGGAGAGGGTGGCTCTTTCCCCTGGAGACAAAGACAGGGTGGCTGGAGACTGTGTCATTACAATTTCTCCGGTGGTATCTGAGATTGGAAATAAAACAGAAATGCACTCATGTAATCTAGATCAAACCAGCTGTCTTTGAGTAGAGCCAAAATTGTTCATCTACTTTGAATTTTAATTATATTTCTTGCTGAGCAGAGAAAACTCCTGATGGAGTTTTCACTGATGTGCAAAACCACCTCATATTCCCCTCACCTGGGAGCCAGAGTAGCAGGAGGAAGAAGAAGCTGTGCTGGGGCTTCCATGGTTCCATCTGGGTCCTAACTGAGCAGTTCCTCCCCAGGGCTCTGACCCAGGCATTGATATGGGCCCTGGAAGGTAGGGCAGCTGGGAGGGACATGCAAAGCAGCTGGGGTGGGAGCTGGGCTTCCAGCTGCAGATACCACCTGCTTCTTCCTCTCTGCACTGAGCATCCTGCGCCACCTTGGTTGTCAGGTCAGAAAAGTCTGTTGGCTCAGTCTGAGTGTAGAACTCCTCCCTTGTGCTCACAGAATTTCACTCCTGTGCCTTTCTTCTCTTCAATCACCTAAATACACCCGTATAATGTTTGGCACAAGTCTGTTAAGAACAATATAAAAGGCTGTGTTTTCATTTCTCTCTTCCTGTCCTCAATATGCCCAGTCATCTCCCTAAGTGCATTATTGGATCGATGGAAATGAAGAGTCTGTTAGAACTTAATCTTCCAGATACACATTTTTTTTTTTTTGAGACGGAGTCTCACTCTGTCTTCCAGGCTAGAGGGCAGTGGTGCGATCTCCACTCACTGCAAGCTCTGCCTCCCAGGTTCACGCCATTCTCCTGCCTCAGCCTCCCGAGTGGCTGGGACTACAGGCGCCTGCCACCATGCCCAACTAATTTTTTGTATTTTTAGTAGAGACGGGGTTTCACCGTGTTAGCCAGGATGGTCTCGATCTCCTGACCTGGTGATCCACCCGCCTTGGCCTCCCAAAGTGCTGGGATTAAAGGCATGAGCCACCGCGCCCGGCCCAGATACACCTTTCATTTGCTTATTAGTAATGTTTTCTGAGGGTCCTGAAGCTTTCCATTAACCCAGATACATACCCTCTTTGAGTTAAAAACTTCTGTTTACAGTCACATGTCCTGGCAGCCCTGACATAGATGCTCCATGGCTTCCCGATTGCTTGAAATTAATCAAATAACTTAACTTCCCTGTGTCTCGGTTTCCATATCTGTGTAACTGTGACAATAGTGGTACCTGCCTTACAGTGCTGTAGACAGTTTAAAGAAAATAAGATAAAACATTTACAGTAGTATTCAGGACATTATGTGTGTGGCAATTAATTTTGTTTTCATTGTTTAAATGTTCAGCACTACAGTCATCATCATTATAAATATACTTACCATGGAAAATAGTCTTAAATCTAATCCAAGAATGTTTTATCCACAGTCAAATTAAATTCTAAGGCATTTTCTTCAGTAACTGTACACAACTCTTAAAATCCTAATGATTTGATCTTAATCTGTGCTAAAGTACTCAGACCTTCAATCATTCCCATCCATCCCTGTCTAACGCATTACTTCTCATCATCCATTATTTAAATGTTACCCTATAAACAGTTCCCATGTCCTGTTGCTGTCCTTCTTTCTTATGTAATCTTTATTCTACCTTGTTATCTTTTATGTTATTCTTGCCCCAGGACTGACAATAAGGAAAAACTACCATCATTACTTGTAGACTTGCTCCAGTATAATTTTTTCAGGCTTGTTGTCTTGGAAATGAGGACTGTGTCTTGCAAAGAAACATATTCATTGGGTCAATGTGTTATGAAATAAAAGATTTTATCTACTTATGATCCAATAATTAATTTAGACTGACTTGAACAGATTTTTAATGACAAAAAGGAGAAGACGATATAAGAGAAAAATTTAATACAATAGAAAACACAAGCTAATATAACACTTGCTTCATGGATTTTTACATGTATATTAGACATATGCTGGGTATATGTGTGCAATGATAATCTAAAAACTGAATGCTAAGTAGCTTAAGGAATGCCTGCATTACACTGAGTCTTGCCCACTTTTCCAGTTATGAAAAGAAAGCTACAGCACTATTTGTATGAGTATCAAACCTTCTAGATGCTGTGATAGAGGTAGAGAAGATTTACTGAGACCAAAGCCTTGGAAGTAGTAGATGCTTGTTCTATGATATTATGTGGTTGTGGTTGTTGTTAGGAAATACAGTGGGAGTGAAAGCAAGGAGAAGATTTACAAGCTCTGCTCTTCCTCATACTCACAACCCCCTCTAGAGATGGACAGATGTTGGTCCAGGAATCTCTGACACCTCTTAGAAGCCTTTTGCTCTTTCCAGAATGTTTCCTGACAAGTATTGTTTTGAGTCACAGATTAGGTGAAACTAGGTGTAGAAGAAAGGACTAGAGCAAGGGAAGAAGTTTTCCATCCCAGACAGTTGTAGGAACAGGGAAATTGAATTTTTCATAGATTTATGTGATACTTGTATCATGTTGGGGAGAGAGGCATCAAACCAGGCTCATTACTGAAAGAATTATTATGTTATTTAAGAGAGAAAGAACTGTGAATTTCTTGTCAAATAGATGTTTAAAATTCAAAGCTACTGATTTTTTTTTTTTTTTTTTTTTTTTTTGGAGATAGAATCTCACTCTGTCACCCAGGCTGGAGTGCAGTGGCACAATCTTGGCTCGCTGCAACCTCCATCTCTCCATTTAAAGCAATTCTCCTGCCTCAGCCTCCCAAGTAGCTGGGATTACAGGTGTGTGCCAACATACCCAGCTAATTTTCATATTTTTAGTAGAGACGGGGTTTTGCCATGTTGGCCCGGCTGGTCTCAAACTCCTGACCTCAGGTGATCTGCCTGCCTCGGCTTCCCAAAGTGCTGGAATTGTAGGATTGAGCCACTGCGCCTGACCCTACTGATGTATTAATATTATTCATCTTCTTGAATACACCAAGTGGTAAAGTGCAAATCCACACTTTAAACTTGAGATTTCTACTCCTATGTGAATTATACTAGTGAGGAACAAAAAAATTCTCTATTGGTGGGGAGATGATGTTTGACAGCGGTCAGTTTGTGAAGCAGAGGCTTATGTCACAGGACTTTTTACAGTATTACATATAAACATGGTGAATGGCCTCAAACACAGAAGAATCAGCTTTTTTCATGAGGCATACTACCACCAAGAAAGAACTGAATTGAAACCTGTGACTACTTGATGAAGGGTGTATAAAGAAGAGGGAAAGATTTGGGAGGCCAAGGCAGGTGGACCACGAGGTCAGGAGATCAAAACCATCCTGGCTAACATGGTGAAACCCCATTTCCATTAAAAATACAAAAAAGTTAGCTGGGCGTGGTGGAGTCCCAGCTACTCGGGAGGCTGAGGCAGGAGAATGGCATGAACTGGGGAGTCGGAGGTTGCAGTGAGCCAACATTGCACCACTGCACTCCAGCCTGGGTGACAGAACAAGAATCTGTCTCAAAAAAAAAGAAGAGGGAAAGAAAAATGACACAAAACACAATATCATAAACGGAAAGGAAGAAGTCATTACACAGCCTACAGGAGTCAAAAAATAAAGAGAGGATATTATGAGTAATTTGATGTCAACTGACTTGACAAAAGTGGTGCAGGGCAGGTTCTTGGCTTCACTCAGGAAGGAATGCAGCGTAAGCTGGTGGTAGAAGAAAACAGCTTTACTGAGGTGGCAGTGTTACAGCTTTGTGACTGTTCTTGTGAAACAGAGCTACCACATAGGCGTGCCAAGAGCAGTAGCGTAGGGGCAGTTTTGCACTCATATTTATCCCCACTTTTAATGACATGCTAATAAAGGAGTGGGTTATTCAGAAATAGCTAGAAAATGAGCAATAACTTTCAGGTGTTGCCATGGCAATGGTAAACTGATATGGCAATGGTGGGCATGTGTTATGGACAGGTGCTTCCAGTGTCTCTTCCTTGTGTCAGCCAGTCTTCAATCTGGTCCTGGGTTGAGTCCCACCTACCTCCTATCTCATTGCTCCCTCAGAGATTAGATACTCCTCCTTAATCTTAAGGGGACTGCAGAAGAGCAGAGTCCCTTTTCTGTAAGTGCTTCCTGCTGACTTTATGGGGGCAGGCCTTCCCTAGCCTTTGAGGAGTAAAAATCTTTGGTACCTGAACTAAGGGGCCCAATGGCATGATGCATTCATTTGTGGGGTCAGAAGACAGAATGGGTTGGAAGACTTATGACAGACCGTATCATCTTTACATGAAATTTAGAAGACATAAACTTTACTAGGATGTTAAACAAGAAAATTATAATTGGAAGAGAGGGAAAAATTAATGCTCCTAGGTCCACCTACGGAACCATGTTATTAATCTATGTGTTTGCAAAACAACAGCCTTAAGTTTTCTGTTTTATAAATGGAGGTTGTGGTGTCCACCTTTTGTGGCTGTAGGACCTTGTAAGAAACAGTTTTAATCCTGGGCAGCTGTACCCAACTAGTGGCTTCCTGAAGCCTAACAGTAATTAAGAGTAATTAAGAATATCTGATAATGCTCCTTATTCTGGTTATTATTGATTCTTGGGGGATCATTTTGTTGTTGTTGTTGTTGTTGTTGTTGTTGTTTTTTCTTTGAGATGGAGTCTCGCTCTGTTGCCCAGGCTAGAGTGCAGTGGCACAATCTTGGCTGGGCTCACTGGAACCTCTGCCTCCAGTTTTCAAGCTATTTTCATGCCTCAGCCTCCTGAGTGGCTGGGATTACACGCATGTACCATTTTCATGCCTCAGCCTCCTGAGTGGCTGGGATTACACGCATGTACCACCATGCCCAGCTAATTTTGTAATATTAGTAAAGATATGGTTTTGCTATGTTGGCAAGGATGATTTCAAACTCCTGGCCTAAGTGATCCGCCCATCTCAGCCTCCCAAAGTGTTGAGATGAAAACATCACAGGAGCTGATGAAAAAGGAAAAGGAGACAGCAATGATCCCAGGCCTTTTTAAAGGGAGAACAAGCTGAAAGCAGCAAAACACAACAGTTAAATCTCTAAGACACTAATCTCAGAAGTTTTAAAAGAAACTCATTATTGTATCACAGGCAAAATTTTTTGTTTTACTTGTTTTTTTTTTTTTGAGATAGAGTCTCGCTTTGTCACCCAGGCTGGAGTGCAATAGCGTGATCTTGGCTCACTGCAACCTCCACCTCCTGGGTTTCAGCCATTCTCCTGCCTCAGCCTCCTGAGTCGCTAGGGTTACAGGTACATGCCACTGTGCCTGGCTAATTTTTGTATTTTTAGTAGAGACGAGGTTTTACTATGTTTGCCAGACTGGTCTTCAACTCCTGACCTCAAATGATCCTCCCACCTTGGCCTCCCAAAGTGCTGGGATTACAGGCATGGGCCACCATGCCCAGCCTTAAAGCTGTATTTTTATTAAGTAAAGCGTAGAAGAAAAAGTGTAAATAAAGTGACAGAAGGAAAACACAAGGCTGTTATGGAAAATGATAACCTTAGGGCAGAAAACAAGAAAAGGCAAACCAAGATTTCCATAGGGTGAGGCTCCAATCCACAATCCTCGGACGAATGTCAATGCTAAAAACCTTGGAGCATCCAGGGAGTGGCCAACAGTACTAAATGCTGAAAACCCAGAGTACACGAGTATCAGCCTATGAATGTCCCACACCAAATGCCAGGAAACCCTGGAGTATCCAGGGGCTGACAAGTGCAGAAAATCCTGGAGCCTCAGTGGGGTGGCCAACAATGAGCCCCAAAGGCCCGGTTGGGGCCATAGAACAATGTGACTCTGGCTTCTTAGAGTCAACAGAACAGGAGAATTCTTACATCCAAGTGTCCTGCCTTAAACAATTGCACAAACATAATTAGTAGGGACCCAAAGAAAAAACTGCAAAGCAAACACATATATCGGGGCAGAAAATAAGATAAAATGGCTGATGGATAAATAAAATGTCATTAGAGGAGAAATGACTAAGAGAAAGATCAATGAGGATGTAGTCAGGTGTGCTATGGGGGACTTCAAATGGACTATTTAGCCAAAGGCCTTATTTCCTGGATCATCTGATATAGGGAAGGTGGGTAGATGGGACACTTACAGGTGTGCAGGAGCCAAAATGGTGCCAAGCAGTCTCTAACACGAGGCCTGCATGAAGATCTCTCCAGGCTCCCCAGCTTGGGTGGGTTGAGCTCCCACGGGTGAACTGGTGCATGGAGCGGCTGGCCTGCATGAAGCAGTGGCTCTGTGGCCACTTACCTATCTGCTCAGCTCCACTGCCTGTCAGGAAAGACGATGGCTCTTCAAACAGCCTTTGGCCAGTCTTAACAGCTCTGCAATGTTAGCAACTATGTAGCTTTAATCGCTGTAGCGCCGATCTCGCCCTCTCTCACTGATCGCTGACTTGCCACTTCTCCAATAGCTGTCTCGCCCATTGCTGATCGCTATGTCCGTCTTCTCACAAAATGCCATCTCTTGCTGTCTCTTGCTGTCTTGCTTCTCCACTGTTTCTGCTGTCTCACCACCACATCAAACACTGCCTCTCACCATGTCCCATTTATCCTCCCTCCTTATTAAACATCCATCTGCATGTCCAGGCCTGGCATCCCCAGGCTGATGTCTCTGTCCTGGGCCAGGTACTGGAGAGTATTGTTCCTCCAACTTCACCAATAAGCCATGGTTCTCTCAAATCAAACCTTCTTAGTGTGCCAATTTTGCCAAGAAGGTTTGCTGTGCACTGGTTGCCAACTCACCCAAATCTAGTGAGACAGAACACCCATGCACAACCAGTTACATGAAGTGGATTACTACTTACAGAGTCAGCAAGAGAGAGCACAAAGCTGCCTGGGCCTGATTGACTCTAGACCTTGCATAACACAAAAGGACCGCAGCTGAGGGACCCTGGAATGCAGCCCACCCTGGGTTTTATGTCTTAGAATCACATGACACACTGGGCTACAGTGTTGAAGGAATTCTTGTTTCTAGTAGGGACAGAAACAGAACCCAGGCTGTTCTGGCCAATCATGCCCTATCTCAGAATGTTACAGTTCCAGAACATTCTACAGTTATTCCTGAAAACTACAATCAAGAAAAGGAAGGAGACTGGGTTAATTCGTGACTAAATGGAAACTGTTCTGCAAATACCACAGTGAAATCAAAACTCAGTATTTTTGAGACTGGGTTATTTCACTTAGGGTAATGTCCTCTAGTTCCATCCATGTTGTAGCATGTGTCAGAATTTCCCTTTTTAAAACTAAATAATATGGAATAGTATGTATATTACCACATTTGGATTACCAGTTCCCTCCTTTGTGAACATTTGAGTTGCTTCTACATTTGGCTACTGTGAATAATTTGCTTCTGAATGTGGATATACAAATATCTCCTCAATTTAATGTCTTCCATTACTTGGGTATATGTCCAAAAGTGGAATTGCTGAATTATATAGTATTTCTATTTTTAATCCTTCGAGGAATTGCCATCTTGTTTCCCACAGCAGGTGGGCCATTTACATCACCACGACAGTGTCCACAGGAGTTCCAGTTCCCTAAATTCTCACCAAGACTGGTCACCCTCTGTTGGAAAAAAACATTCTAACAGGCATCAGGTGGGTTTTGTTTTAATTTTTCTAAGGATTAATAATATTGAGCATCGTTTCCTATGCTAGTTATCTAAATATCCCCAAAGTATCTTCTTTAGGGAAATGTCTATTCATATACTTTTCTCATTTTTAATCAGTTATTTTATTTTTACTGTTGACAAGTAGAATTTATTTTTGTATAGTAGATATTATTAACCCCTTATCAGATATGATTTTCAAATATTTTCTTCTATTCCACATGTTGCATTTTCACTGTGTAGGTTTTATCTTTTGATGCCCATTTTAAATTTTTATGTAGTCCAATTTATTTTTTTTTCTACTTTTGCCTGTATTTTGGTGTTAAAGGTGTTAGTATTTAAATGTCTGTAAATATTCACTTACTACGCTGAGAATGTCACACTTCACCTTCTCTCTCTGATGGTGGAGCTAAGAGTGTTACACTCTCCCATTTTGTCCTAGGGGACAGTGAAGCTAGGTGAGAACCCAGTGGCTTTTCTGAGCTTATTTGTCTTGCGTTTTTGGTGACATGGATTATTGTTCACATCAGCTTCCTCTGGCAAGTCCACCTGGAAAGCATTATATTTAGCAAGAAAAAAGGAGGCTGTGAATGATGTCACTGTAAGCTGTTTATATTCCCTGTTGCAAATGTCAAATCCGTGAAGCATAAAGGGATTTACTAGAGGATATTAAATTCCTTAGAAATTGTTGAAAAGCCTTAAGCAACAGGCTCCAGGCAAAGCCTCTGGAACAATTCCAAGAATGGCACTGCTGGCGCAGGCTGGGGAGGAGCTCCTGCTGCCTGAGACTCCACATTCAAGCTGTCTCCTGCAGGAAAGAGAGCAGCTCTTCTCACTACTGCCCCCCGAAGGACAGCTGCTCCGCTATCAACTGCTAGAGACCTGACCCCTTTCTCTGCAGACCTGACTGTGTTGATTACATCTTCATTTCAGTCTCATGTAGATTCATCTGTTTTCATGGATTCAGGGGCTATTTCTGCCCAAGTCCACCCTGTGGCTTTCTATCATAACTACACATCTTTCTACACTTGAATTTCTAGTCATTACTAGTATCAACAGCAACATGCTAGAACCTCACATAAAGATTTCCTTTACAAAGAACATCATGCTCCCCACGTAGAATTGTGCTCCCCAAAATGTGGGGAAAGTCCAATCTGTTCAGCCCAACACCATGTAGGATAAAAGGATCTTCTCTCATGAGCCGTTAATCTGTCTACTTATTATTTAATTTGTGGGCTAAACTATAAAGATTGGTAAAAATAGCACTTTGAATTCTTTTGGCAAAAGGGTGTAAAGAAAAGATTAAATTATTTAACATGACTCATTTCGTTATTGTCACCAGCTTCTTTCATATTTATTTTATTCTCTAGTTTCTGGCAATACTTTCTCTATGGTAGAGTCTGGAAAGGCTACTCCTCATGTCCTTGGCTTCCTAAGTCCCAGATGTGGTGAAGAATGCCCATCAACTGTGCTACTACAGAGTGCTTTTGGATTGAGATGAGGGAGGAGAAATGGCTGAACTCACTCAAATGTGATCATTTTCTTGGTCTAGGTCACAGCCAGGCAACACAGTCCTCTGGGCACAATATCATCACTTGCCATGTTTCTATCAAAATGAAAGTATCTTTCTTGACTGTGGAAAACATAGGGGTGGGGGCGGGGAGGGTCAAGTAATAGCAAAAGGAGTACTTGGAGTTGCCTGAGCTGCCACTCTGGTTTCCCCAAATGTTTTCAATCCATTTCATTCATGATAATAAACACCTTTCTGCCTAACCAGTCATAATGACTTTTCTCAGATCCAACTGATTCAGTGATAAACCTATAGAGAAAAAATAAATACACTTCTCCATGTTTGAGCTGACCAGGATGCTGTCCCTGGTGTTTGCACCTCCATATCCCACTATGCGTTTCATCTTCTCTTTGCCTCACTGGTGATCCAAGTACAGGGAATGCTTCACATGACTGTGATCCCTAGAACTTCATCCTGATGACGGTTGAAATCTTCTCTGAGTTTTACCAGTGGAAATGGCAATAAATAGAAACATTCCAGAAGGTCCCCTAGGTTCCATATTTTCTGTACTTCCTCTCTAAAATATGTAAAATCAATTATGTTTGCTCTTGCTTTTATGGACTATATCTATGGCCCCAGCACACATCCTAATGTCCTGTCTTGACAATTTATCCAGTATTTTAATAAATGTAAATGGTCACATGCTTATCATATCATTTCTTCCAATTTCATGGAATAATTTCACATCAACTCTTTGGATTAAGAGCCGTCAACCAGAAAACCACAGCCCTGAATAAATAGAAATAGAGTATTTCAAGCTGTTCATTTGGCATAACAATGATGAGTCTACAGCTCATTTTCAAGATATAAATATTCTGTTTATGGGAGTGACAGCACCATTCATGGTTAGTGTTTCAGAGCGTCCACCACATCTGACAGCATAGCAATTCAATAACACAAGGGTTTGTGTGACAGCTTTGCTTGACTAATAATGGGTTTTTCCCTGTCTATAGGGAAAGCTGCACCTGTGCATATGACAAGATCATGAGCTACCCTTTGCTTTACTTTTTTTGAGGTAAATAAGTTGCTTGATCCAAAGTCATATTATGGAAGAATTTCCTGATTCTGATGAAAGCACTTCGAAAATCCTCAAATAATATTTTATGCAGAGACATAACTGAAAAGAAAGGCAAATTCAATATATAGGAAAATAACCACTCCTCATGTGACATGAGGTCCACTAGAATCACCTGACACCAGCTGTTAGTCTGAGCCCTGATGTGTCACACAAAGTTAGGGGTGTTAGGGGTTCTTCTTGGCAAATTAGGTGTTCAGAAGGGTCAGTAGCCCTGTATGTCTCAGTTAGTTGAAACTCATATTATTGAATCCCCACAGGGACCTCCATAACATTGGTTCAGGAGACTCCCTAGGAAAGTTGGGAAAGGTGACTGACTGAAGTCCATGTGTTGAATCATCCTTATTATTAAAAGCCCCTGCTCATTAATGGCATTTCAATTAATATTCTCTTGAAAAGCATTTTCTTTGATTATGGCTCAGTTTTGAAACGTCTCGTCATAGCTCTTCCAGAATGACTTTGTCTGCAATCATCCTGCTGCATTTGTTTTAAGGCCGGATGATCTGTCAAAGCCAACAGCCAATATTATTAAATTGCTGTTCTCTTTGCAATGTGATCATCAGATCACAGTTTACCTTGCAGTTTACCCACTACATTTCCAGGGTTTCCTTGATGATGGCACTAATGTGACTCCATCCAGCATCCATTGTTGTGAGAACTCTATTTGACATATTATCACTGTGGGCATGAACATAATGGAGACTTTCATAGGATGCAATGGTTAATATTCAACATTGGTCAAAATTTGCTCTAGTCCTACCCTTGGAACTATACTTGGTTGGAAAAATATTTTAGGTAAGGACAACCATTTGGTAGAGTTTTAAAAACAAAGTCTACAGAGAAATTTTATTTAGCAGGAGTATGAACTATATGTGGTACAGAATACCATTTTTTATGGATTGTAACAAAGATTATTTAAATGTATATGAATACTACATATATTTGTAGCCAACATTTTATCAAATAAATATATATTCATTTCTATGTATCTTATATACATATATGCACATTTTTCCATAAATAATATTTAATTTTTATCAAAATACTAATTCATTTTAATTTTGTCTTTAATTTTCCCTTAATATCTTCATAATTTCATTACTAAATGTTCACATTTATACCACCAATTTAAGAAAAAATACATGTGTGTATACATAGGTAGCAGTGTAAATACTGTATCAGGAAGCTTTTGTGCATTACTGATTGGTAACTGGTTAAATACACAACTCAGTGGCTGATAACAGTAAACATTTGTTTTCATGTTCATGGACGCTAATGTTCATAATCATCTGGCTGATCAAGGGAGGGCTCAGCTGAGTGGTTCCTCTGCAAGACACAGAGCTTGTCTTCAGCCTATAGCTATCACTTGTCTGAAGACAAGGCTGAACAGCAGTGACTACACATGACACAAGATTCTTGTGACAGGTCACAGGAGTGAACAACATCCCAAACCAAACCGCACAGTTGAATTTAACTCCAATAATTTCAAACATAGCTTCTAACATTTTAAATATATTCCTTTATTTCAGTGAGTACAAATTTTCAAGAAAATGTTTACTCCATTTAATTATAGAGGTGTTTGATCATTCCATGGACAAATAATTATACTTTCAACTTTATGATCTTGAAAATATTTGAAAATGTAAATTTTCATTAATAAGAAAGCTGGATGTGTCTTCAATATGGGTCTTTAAATATGATTTTTTTAATGGCCTCATTTGGGGAAGAATCATTTTAACTTATGTAAATATCCCCTTTTGCCTCTCTTTTGTCCTATAGAGTTGCCCAATAAGAGGTCCTTCCATGAGATTTGGAAGTCAGAAATGGATGACTCAATATTCTCCATTGGTACCTAAGAAAGACACAGGGACAGAGTTGAGGACTGGAAGAACACCTGGAAAGATGCTGTAGGAAGCTGAGAGCATCAGCACTCACTCCCAACCTTAAGCTTCTAGACAGGACTGAGGACCACATGGTTAGATAACCCATACTTCAGGGACAGATGCATTCTATTTTCTGAGGGAGCACCAGAGAATCCTGCATCTAATATCTTCTTTCATGACTAGTATATCCTTGGCTTTGAAAGGTTGTAGTGTGAAAGTTAATCGTAGGAATTGAGTCATTCTTGTCATACCCAACAGAGCCAAGAAACCAAGGGAAGGGCACTCAGGGTGCAAAATATTGTTTCTAGAATTCAATTTAAGTAGGCCCTATTATCCCATGGAACTAATGTTTATGGGTTTTTGAATAGATGTAGATATTGACTCCCCAGTCTTAAAACTCATGATAGTTACATTTGTCTTATCTGAGTTATTTTCTCAGGAAGCCAACCATCAGGCCTCTAGATACTATCAAGGAGCTGAAGCTTACATATCACTGAATCGGGACAGTGAGACCCTTCGCCCGTTATGATTGCCTAACTGACCTCCTGCTTCCTGTTGACCAAATTATCTTCCTTACCCTTCCCTCATTCCTGTTTTCCCACATTACTTACCTGCTATATAAACCCCTAATTTTAGTTGGTCAGGGAGATACATTTGAGAATGGCGTCCCATCTCCTTGGCTGTAGCACCTGATTAAAGCCTGTTCCTTGGCAATACTTGTTGCCTCAGTGATTGGCTTTCTGTGTGGTGATCTGCAGGATCTACACTGAATCCCTGGCATTTCAGTAACAAACTTCTCTGCAAACTTCACTGTTTTGGCTTATTGTCACCTGAAATCAAATTTACCCACAACTTCTGAGATAACTTGATATTATTCTAGGATTCACTTTGTCCACCACTGCTTACCAGTCTAAGCTTGCCAGCTCCCAACCCTTACTAGTGCCAATGAACTTTCTCAAAGAGCAATAGGTAATATTTTCTCTTTTTCATAAATCTCTAACCTTCTCTTTGTTTTTCCAACATATTGAAGACCACTGAGTTTTCCTGTATGTCCCATTTGGCAAATATTTCTTTGCAAATAAAACATTAAATTTAGATATTCATCTCTACATTTTATTTAGACTTTAGTAGTTTAGACTCTAATTCTCTGTATTAAGACTATTCCTGCTTAGAATATCTATAGTGGCTTCCTCTGTTTTTTATGAATTCCAACTGAAGCCATAAACTAGACTCCTCAGGTGTCATGATCTCTGTCTTTATTAAATTAGGAGAGGCATTGCTATATCTGTGCTGTTGGGGCTGAGAAAGAAAACCATCAGAGTGTGGCTGCATCTGAGGACCACTCTTAGCCGATGGAGGCATCAGGAGAAGCAGCTGGGGCAGCCCAGCCTCACACATCTCTTTCCCTGGGGGTTTTTGTTCGGGTGTGTAACACTGTGGGAGGGGTACTATAATACTGTTGACAGTAATAAGTTGCAAAATCTTCAGGCTGCAGGCTGCTGATGGTGAGAGTGTAATCCGTCCCAGATCCACTGCCACTGAACCTGGATGGGACCCCACTTTCCAATCTGGATGCAGCATAGAGCAGGAGCTTAGGGGCTTTCCCTGGTTTCTGCTGATACCAGGCTAAAGAATTGCTAATGCCCTGACTCGCCCGGCAAGTGATGGTGACTCTGTCTCCTACAGATGCAGACAGGGAGGATGGAGACTGGGTCATCTGGATGTCACATCTGGTACCTGAGATTGGAAACATAAAAACAAATGTCTACACAATTAATCATGTAGTAAGGTAACTTCCCTAAATAGGCAGACAGTACTGAGCACACTGGCTGAGTAAATTCCTAGTGTTCTCCATCCTTACCTGGGAGCCAGAGCAGCAGGAGCCCCAGGAGCTGAGCGGGGACCCTCATGTCCATGCTGTGTCCTGACAGGGTCTGACTCATGCACGGAGTGTGGCCAGCCTATTAATAAGTGTTCAGGGCAAGAGGATGTGCTGTAGGAACATGCAAATGAGCAGGGGGCAGGGCATGCTGGGCACAGCTGAAGGGCTGGTTCATCTCAGTAACTCAGCACTGGTTCAGTGTCCCCAGGTGTCACAGGTAAGACCAGGGTAACATAAATTTGTCTCCAGAGAATGTGTTTCTACTGGGGACTATTTTATTATGAGAAACATCTTTTAGGCATTTTTTTGACAATTTGAAATACTCCTCAGGAGCCGATGGAGTAATGTATTTCATTGGTGTATGGGGATAATTTAGGAGAATATTCTTGTTTGTAGGAAACACATAGTAAAATGTTAGACAGCATGATTCTCGGGTCTTCAAAAGACTCTCATATTATTCTAGTTAGTGAAGGGGATGAATGAGTTATACTTGTAAATTTCTGTGAGGTTAACATTGTGGCTTTCTAAAAAAATTAAAAATAAAATTTATTGACATGATGCTATATATATTTGTAAGTACTAGGCAATGGTGTTATGCCATTGTTCTTACGAGTATAAGATGAAGCAGTTTACTTCAGCTACACTAAGTTGATACCGTGTTTCCTCAATGCATGCAACACTCACAGATCCATGATTATAAGGACTTACAGGTCTCTTTAATACCCAGAGACTAAATGGGCTGTACCTTATTCTTGTTTTGGGCACCTTCATAGTGTACCTTCTTTTCTTCCATTGAGTATTATTCCCCAAAGTTCATCTCTTTTAGTGAGGGTGGCCACTGCATGGAGCATGTCCCTGCCATTCACCATCAATGCCATTTTCCTCTTATACTTTTTATCAGTGACTGGGGATATCTTCCTGACCCAGACACCAGTCTCCCTGTTAACATCTTTAGGAAAGAGTCACTCAATCTCTTATCAAGCAATTGCCTTCGTACATGGAGAAATCAGTTGGATCCAGATGAAACTGGACACGGATTTACACTCCTTATATTTCATATCTCTAATGTGCCCAAAAATGTCCCAACCTGCTTCAGTAACAGGGGAAGTGGATCCAACTACATCAGCATCAGTGGGCTGCGGCCTAGGGCTCCACAAAATTTTACTGATGCCTGACTAGGGGAGGCAAATCACAGTGCTGTATGCAGTGCAGAAACCTTCCTGCTGCTTTGTAAGCAGGCTGAATTTTTAGGGAACTTGCTTATATTGGGAGAAAGGAAGAAAGCTCGATCTGTCCTCTAAATATTTGCTGAAAGTAAACTGTCAAAAGAAAGATTAATAAGAGAAAAGGCAAACAAAATTCACTTAAAGTGCAGTGAGATATCATAGCAGGGTGATTACCCAGGTAACTCAATGAGATCCAGTAGTTCATATTTCCTTTCTAGGGAAGAGGGAATTGGGAAGTGTAGGCAACCTAGACTGAATAGATGAGAATAGAAGTGCATCTTCGAAAGAACAGTTAATAGCCTGTCTAGATAAAGCATCAACTTCCAGTCTCTTCTATTTTTGATTCCTGTTTTGTGTTAATCTTCCCTGATATAAAAATTCCCAGGAAGAATTTCCTTGACAATTGTTTTTCTTCTGGAGAATTCGCTTTTAGGCAGATGAAGGATATTTAGGAAAAGCCTATTAGTGCATTTGCTGCTTTCTAAATGATTATGTAGTTTTACATAATCATCATACCAATACAGCATAGTTTGAGATGTTATTTTCTGGATTCCTTTACTTGCAACCTACCTGCCAACATCCTGTTCCAGAGAGATGCAGCTACAGATTGAGTGAGCAGTTGACCCCTGAACAACAAGGACGTTGGGGCACTGACCACTGGTGCAGTTGAGAACCTGTGTAGAACTTTTGCATCCCTAACTTAGGTCCCAATAGAAGACATTCGACTGGAAGCCTTAGTGATAAAATAAATGGTTGATTAAATTTTTTTTACATTATATATATTCTATACTATCTTTTTCCAATAAAGTATGTTAAAGAAAAAATGTTATTAAGAAAACCATAAAATGAGAAAACATATTTACTATTGATTAAGTACTTGCTCACAGGTGACACACAGAAGAAAATACAAGTGGATCTGCAAACTTCAAACCCAAGTTATTCAAGGGTTAACTGTACCATGATGAATGTAGCAGTCCCCATCTGTAGTGTAGGGCTTCCCCTTTGCTGTACCTCTGCTCACTTCCCATGGCCATATATATGTCTTATGTTCTTTATGATCTTGGGCAGAGAGCTCTCCCTTCATGCATTGCTGGCCAGATGTCCTGGAATGAGTATCTCTTAGGAAATTGCTATGGCTTGACTGTGTCCTCCAAAATCCATCTGTTGTAAAGTTAATTCTCAGTGTAATGGTATTCCCAGGTGGGGCCTACTGGGGTGTGTTTAGGTCACGAGGGTGGAGCCCTCTAGTGGAATACATTAATGCCCGTATAAACAGGGTTTATGCGGCTGGAATCTTTCTCTCTCTTCTGCTCATCTGTCATGATAAACATGGCCTTCCTTCCTTTGAAGGATTCAATGATACAGGCATCATCTCGAAAGCAGAGAAAGCCAACCTTAACCTGCCCATGCCTTGATCTTAAATTTCCCATTCTCCAGAAGTGTGAGAAAATATATTTCTGTTTTTTATAAATTACACAGTGAGAAGGAATCTGTTATAGTGGCTTGAAAGAGAACAGGAGAGACAGCTCAAAATCAGTGAGGATAGGATGAGGGGTATACATACCCCAGCTTCCTCATCTCTCAGGTGGAATAGCCCAGAGGAATTTAGTCCATGTTTCCACATGTGGTTGATCTTCAGTTATCCTGAGTCAGGTGGATTGTTGATGTGTCTTTTACCATTCATCTTCTGTCCTCTTCCTCACTTTCTTCCTTTCCTCCCAGTGTAAATTTGCTGCCTAAACAGGAATATTAATTGCTGGTGGACCCAAGCCAAGATAGTAAAAAAATTCATTAATCTTTTGTGTGAGGGGCATTTCTCATCTGAATTCTTATCATTTCTCTTTCTTTGACATGTAGGAGTATTCAGGAAGCACCTAATTTTTTCTTTTACCAATCTATTTTAGATCAAATTTATGCAGTGATTTTTTTTTTCTGTGTGTTTTTTAAACCAAAAATTAACTTGTAAGTCACCAACGAGCTGAGCTGAATGGACTGCACTTTTGACAGAGAGAACTTCAAAGAAATCTGAAAAACTAGGTTAGGCCATGATTAGCTGGTGGGTTTAGATGTGCCTCATTATACTCTCCTCCCTTTTGAGTTCAGACACAACTGACCAGTATTATCATTACAGCAGAGATCTTTGGACTGACAAAACAGATGCTTGGTAGCAATAAGATACCATACTCCAACATGACAGATAATAGGCCCAGAAGAAAATCTAAATATTTTACCCCCAAAATATTTCTTCATCATATTCTGAAGTGGCCTGCCCTGCAAAGCTGCCTGTAGTGGGGGAAATTTGCATTCTGTAGAGAATCTCCTACGCTTACTAAGTCTTTTCCAGAGTCTGACATTTTTTTTTAAGTTCTGATAAGCAATGTCTACTTTGTCTGCTACCCATAGGATTCATCTACACGACAAGAACCTTGGCTTATCTAAACTCAAGCGTACCACCTTATCTAAACTCAAGCACTTCTTTATGGTGAATTCAGCTCTTTAGGCAGAGTTTAACTCTTTCAATCTGTTGCCAATCAGGGAAGCTTTGAATCCACCTATGACCAGGAGGTCCTTCTTCAAGATATCCCACCTTTCCAGTACAAACTAATGTATATCTTATATGTATTGATTTATTTCTTTGCTTGTAATTTCTGTGTCTCCCTAAAGTTTATAAAACCAATGTGTAACCCAAACACGTTGGGCACATGTTTGCAAGAGCCCCTAAGGCCCTGTCACAGGCCATAAGCCTTATCTTTGGCAAAATAAACCTATAAATTGATTGAGACCTGTCTCAGATTCTGTTTTGTTTACACTGGGTCACAAAATTTAAAAATCCTCCAAAACTATCTACACATCCATAAATCTACATTAGAGACAGAGGAGTGAGCTTACTCCAACAGTTAAAACTCACAAGTTAGAGGAAGCTGAGTCTAAGATTTTGTCATCTCTCTTGCTTCATAAAAATATTTTGTGATTTTTTTAATTTTTCCTTTAGAGAAGGACAATTTTGGGGAATATATTTATTGTTGCTGGGATGAATAATGTCCCCACTGCAAAATATGTCCATGTCCTAGTCTCTGGAACCTAAGTGTTGTAGGAGTTATTAAGAAATTATTTTAGGCAGATAGAGAGGAAAAGGGGTCCTTTGTATCATGCGTGTCTGTGTGAAGAGGCCACCAAACAGACTTTGTGTGAGCAATAAAGCTTTTTAATCACCTGGGTGCAGGTGGGCTGAGTCCAAAAAGAGAGTCAGCAAAGGTTGGTGGGATTATCATTAGTTCTTACAGGTTTGCAATAGGCGGTGAAGTTAGGAGCAATTTTTTGTGGGAGGGAGTGGATCTTACAAAGTACATTCTCAAGGGCAGGGAGAATATTACAAAGTACCTTCTTAAGGGCAGGGGAGGATATTACAAAGTACCTTCTCAATGGTAGTGAGGGTATATCACACAAAGTACATTTATAAGGCCAGGGGAATCTCACAAAGCACATTATCACAAGGACAGGGAGGGTGTATTGTCACAAATCAATTGATCAGTTAGGGTGGGGCAGGAAGAAATCACAATGGTGGAATGTCATCAGTTAAGGCAGGAACTGGCTATTTTCACTTCCTTTGTGGATCTTCAGTTGCTTCAGACCATCTTGATGTACATGCGCAACTCACAGGGGATATGATGTCTTAGCTTGGGCTCAGAGGCCTGACATTCCTGTCTTCTTATATTAATAAGAAAAACAAAACAAAATAGTGGTGAAGTGTTGGGGCAGCGAAAATTTTTGGGGGTGGTATGCAGAGATAATGGGTGATGTTTCTCAGGGCTGCTTCAAGCAGGATTGGGGCAGCGTGGGAAACTACAGTGGGAGAGATTAAACTAAAGAAAGATTTTGGGGTAAGAGCTGATATTGTGGGGTTGTTAGAAGGAGTATTTGTCATACAGAATGATTGTTGATGGTCTGGATGCAGTTTTGTATGAATTGAGAAACTAAACAGAAGACACAAGGTCCAAATAAAAGGAGAAAAATAGGTATTAAAGGATTAAGTATTGGGAGTGCCCAGGACATCCAATTAGAGAGTATCCAAGGGGATTCAGCATAATTATTTGCTTGATTGGCAACTTTCTGGGCTCCATCCTTGAGTTTTTTTATGTTGTTATATATACCAGGCCAGATTGATTTAGGTACAAACAACACTCTTCATTTAAAAATGTACAGTCTTCCTTTTTCAGCAGTGAGTAAGTCGAGGCCTATTCCTGTCTTCTTATATTAATAAAAAAATGTTAGTGGTCAAGTGTTGGTGTCATGAGGAGAACAGGAAGTTGTTTGGTCCTATTAGCAAATTCATTTTTGGGAGTAAGTAAACTAGTGTGCATGTGCCTGTCTAATTGATAGGTAGACACATATAGGTGGAGGAGCCACAGAGGAAGAAGAGAACTTTGTAAGGCAAAACTGGAAATGTAAAGTGAAAAGATGAGAGGGAACACCAAAAGAGGTGTCTGGCACCCAGACTTTTAGGGATTGAGCGTTGGCAGCCACCATTAGAGGTTGTAATGGGATTGATGGGGCAACTGGGTAAAGGGGGAGGTTCAATTTTTATGGTGTATGAGAAAGCCCACAGTGTCTATGAGTAGCATTTCACTGCTACTCATGGGGCTGGGTATAAGCAAGCAAGAGGAGGGGCTAGGAGGAGAGTCTGAAGGACAAGGGGGAAGGTAGCCAAGGATGGAGTGAAATGCAGGGCAAATGTCTTAAAGGAAATGAGAGGTTCTAAGAGGTGGGCTAGTGGCTTGTAACCCACATGTAAGAGATTATGAAAGGATGATAGAATGGAATGAGCCCGTGAGACTGGAAGGAGGAATTTTCCTTGGTCTAAGAACCATTTATCTTGAGTGGGGAGGGATTGATAGGTGGAAACTTCAGTGGGAGAGTAAGTAGGAGTGACTGGTGAGAAGGAGAAAAACTGGCCGTGAGAGAGACGTTGGAACACTAGCTGCTTCTTTAGCTACCTTATCAGCATAAGCATTGCCCTGAGTGATGGGATCTGATGCCTTTGGTTGGCCCTTGCAGTTAATGACTCCAGCTTCCTTTGGAAGTAAAGCAGCCTTGAGAAGAGTTTTTTTTTTTGGTTTGTTTGTTTTGTTTTTTTGTTTGTTTGTTTTGTATTTTAAAGAGGCATTAATGATGGAGGACCCTTGCATAGCGAGGAAACTCTTTCCACCCATATAACAGCATGGTGGTGCAGGATATGGAAGGCATATTTAAAGTCAGTATAAATATTGACACGCAGTTCTTTTGCAAGAGTGAGGGCTCGAGTTAAGGTAATGAGTTCAGCTTGCTGAGAGGTAGTGGAGTGGGGCAGAGTGGCAGCCTTAATGATAGATTTGGAAGATACTATAGCATAGCCTGCCTTTGCTGGTGAGTGGCGATTAGGTCTGGTGGAACTGCCATCAATAAACCAAGTGCGATCAGGGTGAGGAATAGGGAAGAAGGAAATATGGGGAAATGGAGTGAATGACAGGTGGATTAGAGAGATACAGTCATGGGGGTCAGGTGTGGTATCAGGAATAATGTGGGGGCCAGCCTAAAACAGTAAGGTCAAGTTTGGACAGAAAGGCTACAGGTCGTCGTCCCGGCTCTTGTGTAAGAATTCTGACTGCACAGCCCTGCATTTCAGCTGTGTGTAATGAAAAAGGGTTGGGATGTGGAGAACTATTGTGAGAGCAGCTTTTAGGGCTGTTTTTAAGGAACAGAAAGAGGAGTGGGGAAAGGACTTAGGATCTGTGTGGTCACCTAGGTTTCCTTTTGTGAGTTTATATAATGGTTTAGTTAGGATGGCAAAAACAGGTATCCAAAGGTGAAAGTACCTACTAACCATGCCTAGGAAGGAAAGGAGTTGTTGCTTTGTAGAAGGGGTTGGGTTTTGGGAGATTAGCCGGATATGACCAGCATGGAGAGCACGTATGTTTTTATGAAGATTTATGCTGAAATAGGTAATGGATGAAGAAGAAATTTGGGCTTTGGAGGGGGATACGCGATATCCCTTTGAGAATACATGTTGGAGAAGCAGGAGGGTGTCCTGTTGAGAATATTTGTAGGGGGTGGCTATAAAGTAGAAGGTTGTCAAAATATTGAATACGGTGAGAAGCAGATGGATGGAAAGAAAGTAAATCATGAGAAAGGGCTTGACTGAAGTAATGTGGGCTGTCCTTGAAGCCTTGCAGCAGTACAGCCTAGGAAAGTTGCTGAGACTGATGGGTGTCAGGGTCAGTCCAAGTGAAAGTGAAGAGAGGCTGGGATGAAGGGTGCAAAGGAATAGTAAACAAAGCATGCTTGAGATCCAGAACAGAATAATGGGTTGTGGAGGGAGGTATTGAGGTGTGGCTGTAGCCCAGGAATAGTCAGGGAAGCAAATAATTTGGTTAAAATGTCTTGACCTAATAAGGGAGCTGGGCAGGTGAGGATAACTAAAAAAGGAGTGCATAAAAGAATATTGTCCAAGTTGGCACCAGAGTTGGAGAGTTTTAAGGGGTAGAGCCACCTGGCCGTCAATACCCACAACAGTTAAGGAGGCAAGGGAAACAGACCCTTGAAAAGAAGGTAATGTGGAGTGGGTAGCCTCCGTATTGATTAAAAATGGGATGGACTTACCTTCCACTGTAAGAGTTGCCCAAAGTGTGTGTGATGGTCCAGGAGGTTTCTGAGGTGATTGGGCAGCGTCAGTCTTCAGCCGCTAAACCAAGAAGATCTGGGAAGGAGTCAGTCAGAGAGCCTTGGGCCAGAGTTCCAGGGGCTCTAGGAGTGGCTGCCGCGTGAGTTGGACAGTCTGATTTCCAGTGGGGTCCTGCAGAGATGGGACATGGCTTAGGAGGAATCCCAGACTGGGGGCATTCCTTGGCCCAGTGGCCAGATTTCCAGCACTTGAAGCAAAATCCTGGGGGAGGAGGTCCTGGAAGAATGCCTGGCTGCTGTGGTTTAGGCGTTTTGAAGTTCTTGTGTGCTGGAGATGTGGCTGGGGTTTCTCTCACAGTCGAGGCAAGTAATTGCAACTCAGAAATACATTGTCATTTGGCTGCTTGTTTTTTATTATTGTACACCTTGAAGGCAAGGTTATTTAAGTCCTGTTGTGGAGTTTGAGGGCTGGAATCTAATTTTTGGAGCTTTTTCTAATGTCAGGAGTGGATTGAGTGATAAAATGCATATGGAGAATAAGACGGCCTTCTGGCCCCTCTGGGTCTAGGGCAGTAAGGCGTCTAAGGCTTGTTGCCAAATGGGTCATGAACTGGGCTGGGTTTTCATAATTGATTTAAAAAAGCCTAAACACTAACTGATTTGGGAGAGGTCAGATGAAGAAAAAGGGGCATTAACCTTGACTGTGCCTTCAGCTCCAGCCACCTCTCTAAGAGGAAATTGTTGAGCAGGTAGGGGAGGGCTAGTTGCGGAACAAAACTGTAAGCTGGACCAGGTGTGAGGAGAGGAGGTGATAGAAGGATTATAGGGTGGGGAACAGAGGCTAAGGAAGAATTGGGACCTGGCTTGGCTGGGCGAGGAGCAGCCTGGGGAGGAGGGGAGCGGTCAGATGGGTTTGTAGAAAAGGAGGATTCAAAGGACTCAGACCTTGGGGTTGAGATTGAAGGAACAGACAGGAGAGAAAGATGAAAGATTTGGGACAAGTCGCAATGGAGCAGAGACTAAGGAGGGACCGATGTGTAAAAGAATGCCTGGATGTCAGGCACCTCAGACCATTTGCCCATTTTTTGACTAAAATTATCTAGGTCTTGTAGAATGGAGAAATCAAAAGTGTAATTTTCTGGCAATTTAGAAACATTATCAAGTTTGTATTGAGGCGAAGCACTGTTGCAGAAGAAAATAAGACACTTAGATTTTAGGTCAGGCAAGAGTTGAAGAGGTTTTAAGTTCTTGAGAACACAGGCTAAGAGAGAAGAAGGAGGAATGGAGGGTGGAAGGTTCCCATAGTGAAGGAGGCAGGCCCAGAGAAAAGAGAGCATAGAGACACGGAGGGGTGGGGGCGGTGGTACTTGCCACCCACGGGAGGTGGTGTTTGCCACCAAGGTGAAGGATCAAGGCAGGCATCCCTGTGGGGAACAGACACCTCTGAAATGTGGGTGAATAATCAGGCAGGCATCCCTGCAGTGATTAAACAACAAGGGAAGACTGTCTTCCCAAGTCTGTGACCCGTGCTGGAGTTTTGAGTTCGTGGATAAAACATGTCTCCTCTGTCTCTACCAGAAAGGGAAAGGAAACAAAATTAAGGAAGGGAGAGATTGAAGGGTGGAGGGATAATGAGAGAGGTTGGAGAAGAGAGTGAAAAGACCGCTTACCTGATTTGAAATTGGTGAGATATTCCTTGGGCTGGTTGGTTTGAGGATCTAAGGTTGTAGGTGGATCTCCTCATTGAGTGAGGGTGAGGACAGGGGACTGGTCGCATGAAGAAGTCCTCCTGTCCCAGGTCTTCAGCACAAAATGACAAGCGCATCCATGTGAAGAGACAACCAAACAGGCTTTGTGTGAGCAATAAAGCTTTTTAATCACCTGGGTGCAGGTGGGCTGAGTCCAAAAAGAGAGTCAGCAAAGGGTGGTGGGATTATCATTAGTTCTTATAGGTTTGGGATAGGCGGTGGAGTTAGGAGGAATTTTTTGTGGGCGGGGGATGGATCTTACAAAGTACATTCTCAAGGACGGGGAGAATATTACAAAGTACATTCTTAAGGGCGGGGGAGGATACTACAAGCTACCTTCTCAAGGGTGGGGTGGGGAGGGTGTATCATACAAAGTACATTTACAAGGCCAGGGGAATATCACAATGTACATTATCACAAGGGCAGGGAGGGTGTATTGTCACAAAGTCAATTGATCAGTTAGGGTGGGGCAGGAACAAATCACAATGGTGGAATGTCATCAGTTAAGGCAGGGACTGGCTATTTTCACTTCTTTTGTGTATCTTCAGATGCTTCAGGATGTCTGGATGTAGACGTGCAGGTAACAGGGGACATGATGGCTTAGCTTGGGCTCAGAGGCCTGATAATTGGTTTCTTTTAAAGCAGCTCCAGAAACACTTCTTGTCTAGCAGGACAGCCCTGGCTCTTAGAGCTGGACCAGCAAGATTTGATATACAAATACTGGCCATGAGTAACTGGATCCAGCCAAACATGGCGATTCCCACATACTTCTTGTTTTTTTTTTTTTTTTTTTTTTTGAGACAGAGTCTCGCTCTGTCACCCAGGCTGGAGTGCAGTGGAAAGATCTCAGCTCACTGCAACCCCAACCTCCTGGGTTCAAGCGATTTTCCTGCCTCAGCCTCCCAAGTAGCTGGGATTACAGGGGTGTGCCAGCATGTCCAGCTAATTTCTGTATTTTTAGAAAAGATGGTGTTTCACCATATTGGCCAGGATGATATCGATCTCTTGACCTCATGATCCACACGTCTGGGATTACAGGTGTGAGCCACCGCTGGGATTACAGGTGTGGGATCCCACAAGTGCTGGGATTACAGGTGTGAGCCACCGCTCCCGGCTCCCACCTTCTTCTTCCTTGCCCCTACATGTGCCTGGAAACATGGCTGCACCCACATATCTCCATGTGTGTGGGACATTATGGCACCCCGCATTTGCATATAAACGCTTGGGTGGAAGGGCCAGTTTTTTCTCAGGCTACATGAATGACATGCCTGGTCAAACCAATCCCCTGAGCCCTGTGCAAATCAGATACCACCTCCTCCAGCCTCCTCATATAAGCAGCCACTTTTCTGCTGCACATGGAGTTTTCTCTTTGTATAATCCCCCCTCCCTCTGTCTCTGTATGGGGGAGCTCTTCTCTTCTTCGTTCCTTCTTGCGTATTAAACTTTTTGCTCCTTAAAACAACTCCATGTGAGTTCGTGTCTTTTCAAACAAACCAACGTGAGACTAAGAGCCCTGGTGTTTCTCCAGTCATTGGAGCCATATCATAAGAATTCTACCTTACATAGCAAAAGAAGAACTTGACAGATGTAAGTTAAGGACTTTAAGAATAATCAACCTGGTTATCCAGATGAAACCAATATAATCACAAAGGTAATTAAAATAGAGGAGGAGGCTTGCAGTCAGAGAGGAGCTGGGACAATGGGGAGGGATGTGGTTTGAGGAAGGAAGAGGCCATGGAACCAGAAATGTGGAGGCACCTGGAAGATAAAAAGCAGACGATCCAGTTCTCTCCTGTGGAGCCTCCAAAAGGATTATTCCCTACTGACACCTTAACATTAGCTCAGTGAGAATGCTGACCTCCAGAACTACAGGGTAATACATTTATGTTGTGTGAAGCCAATAAGACTGTGGTAATTTAGACAGCAGTATTGGAAGCTAATGCAAGGGGAAGAGATGTCTTTAACCTCACTGAGAGCATGTTTGTCCTCTGTTCTCGGACATATTTTCACCTTGTCTTTTCGTGTCAGTTATGATGAGAGACAGAGAAAATTTTTCCGAGAGAAGAGCTAGCACAAGAATTCTTTTTAGCTACAAAACCCCTTGGGTAAAAATCCCATGATTATCTCTTATACGATCTGAGTATCACAGAGTTTAGGGGTAAGATCTCACAGCACTTGATAGGATGAAGAGGGTTATGTTTGTTGGTTTGTTTTCATATTAGGAGGGAAAATGAGATTTTCAGGATACAATCTGAGAAGGACAGACTGGGACAGGGATATTGTAAGAGAAAGAGAAGATGTGGAAGGAGTCAGAGCAATGAAACATGTGTACTTGCTCCCAAATCTAAAATAAAGTCATTGATTTTCAAAAGTGAAGCAAAATTCTTCACCTTCCATCTTCTTATGAAGGATCAAATTCTTCCTAGAGTCCCTGCCCCTCCTACACTCCCCTGACATTGCTTTGTGGAGCTAATCACATGTGCCTCTAATCCCTGCAACTGTCCTGGGCTAGGAGAGGCTCACTGTCCTCACCGTGCCCAGCAGGATACAGCTGGTGCCCTAGGCAGCAAAGGAGAAGAGGATGCTTTCCATGAAGTCGATAAGAGCTTTTCCACATTTTACATTTCACTATAATTCTAAGTAAAGTTGTGTAGAGAGAAGAGAACATATGGGCAACTTTATCTGGTGGGCTTGGAAGAGGCCAGGCTCTGAGAATGACAATGAATTCACAATTCTAATTTTCAAGGTGGCAAATGCTAGCTTTAGCACTTGTGGAAATCTGGATTTTGAGTTTAAGAACAAGACAGACTTTCAGGTACTGCAATAAATGAGGAAACATTTAGAATAGGGTCCTTAGCCCAGGGCGAAGGTCAGGCTGGCAGTGCCTGAGAGCTGCCAGGTGCTGGCCCTGGACTGTGGGGGAAGCAGCTGTTCTCCTGAGCCACAAGGCTGAGGACCTGGGAGGAACCACAAGCCCTGGCCACAAGGCTGCCTGGCAGTGGCTTCAGGGAAGGAAACTGCTCACTAATTCAGGGGAGCTGCATTAAGCATATATCCTGCACCCTGGCAAGAGTGAAAGTCTCAGAGACTTTAACTGGACTCCCTGGTCCTGAATCAGTTTGACCCTGTTGGAGCCAAAGAGAGAGGGTCAGCAAATGTCCTGAAAGTCTTTACTCAGCCAGACTCTGTTCTGCTTGGGAAGAAAAGGAACACATGCTACACAAATAAACATAAAATTATGTGTATCTGTAATATGAATTTCTAATATAAATTTTACATATTGAATACATATATTTTAGAAATAAGTTGTATTTATATATTTGCATATACTATGTATCCATTTATGGATAAATATGTGGTACACATTGATATATAAAGTTATATAACTTTGATTGCTAGTATATGGTACAGTTTTAAACTTTAATGAACTGAACTTGAACATTGAAAATGAGCACTGGGTGCACCACCTCATGGCCCCTTCCTCACTCCAGGGCCTGAGGGTCAGAAAGCTCAGGACCATGTTCCATGTCCCTCTGGGCTGACAGCAGTGAACTGCCCATTGCTGAGGCTGTTGAGTGACCTGAGGGGGGTCTGCGGAATCACAGACAAGCAGATGCCCGGGAGATGGATAGTGGCTCTGGGCCCTTAATGGAGGGATGTTTTGTCCCCAGAGCTCAGTATAGACAAGTCCTCTTTGGGTCATTTGTGTCAAACAAAGCAGCACATATGGCTCAGAGTTTGCATGGTCACAGGATGAAGCCCCTCCATGGCTCATTCCCAGCTTCCCCTCTGACTGGGCTGATGTGGAATATCTCTGCCCAGCTTCAATGGCTCACCAGCTGCTGGGACTCTGTTGACAATGGCCTATGTCTGTCCCATGCACAAACTTCTCAATAGTTGCCGTTTTATTTTCTGATCTCCAATAATCACAACTTGCCAACCATGACCCTTCCACAAAGATTCATGGAGT
The DNA here is from genome assembly GCF_000001405.40 of Homo sapiens. Lineage (NCBI taxonomy): Eukaryota > Metazoa > Chordata > Mammalia > Primates > Hominidae > Homo > Homo sapiens. The sequence goes on along the minus strand of NT_187648.1, from coordinate 13,840 downwards.
GGGGTCAGAACTATGGGTTCAGCAATATGCTGGGGCATGTATGGAAGAGAAACAAGGTGTGGACAGCCCATGTCTGAAGTGAGGATGAATTTTATCATGAATTCGAAGTAGGAGGTGGGAGAAAACATCCTGACATGCTCCATGCAGTGATGCCCACAAGATACACTGGAGGTGCCCATAGAGGAGGTGGGAAGAGGGTGAGAAGCAAAGAGGGGATGTGAATTCAGAGGTGTCCCCCAGCCTGTTTCCCTGAGAAGATTTCAGACTCTTAGTAGCCCCTAGGCACTTTGAGAGACTGAGGAGGAAGGATCATGTAAGGCCAAGAATTTGATGTCCCACCCCCAACCCCACACATACAATTTGTTAAAATGTGTGAACAACAGCATCACAAAGTGATTATGTATGAACATTTGCTCAGAAAATTGGAAAACAAAGCAATGTCTTCTGAGCTAACAATACTATAATAAAGATGTTAATTTTTTAACTATAGTAAATACAGAGAACATGAAATTGTCTATCTTAACCATTTCTAAGAGTGCAGTGCAATGCCATTAAATATATTCACATTGCTCTGCTATTATTACTGATACTAAATCCAGAACCATTTTCATCTGATTAAAATTAATATCTATAACCTTTAAACAAGACTCCACCCCAGTTCCTCTATCCTTAGCCCCAACAACCTCCATTCCAGTTCTGTCTCTATGTCATTGACATCTTTGAAGCAGGTTCACCGTGCACTGGTTACCAACGTACTTGAGCTTGGGTACAACACCCCCACAGCAAGTTACATGAAGCAGCAAGGGAACACAAAAGTCTTGGACTTATTATGGGTCAGTACCTCAAAGCACAGGAAAGCTATGTGGAGCTGATGGAGTTGACTATGTGTACCCCACATGCACCACAGCTCAGGAACCCCAGAAAGCAGCCACTCAGGGTTTTATATCCTGAGGTAATAAGACACAAAGGCTAAAGTGCTAACGGACATTCTATTCTATGGGAAACTGGTATAGAGCACAGGTAGGTTGTTCTGCTCAGTTCCTCTCCATCTCAGGATGTTACAATTCCCGCACATTCCACAATTATTCTTAAGAACTCTTAAAATAAGCAAGAAAGTGGAGAGAACTAAGTCAGTCCAGGGTCATTGAAGAACTGTCTTGCAGTTACCCCACCACCTAGACATCCCCCTTAGCAAAGCTAGCATACTTCATAGGCCCACCAACTTCCCCGAACTGGAGGCAGAGGTTTATCTTTTCAGATTGATGAAGCACCTTGACTAACGCAATATCAATGCAGATTATTAAGCCATAGTGAGAGTCCATTTCACTGGGCCACGAAAAACTAGTACCACTGGCAGGAGGATAAGAACCCCCAAAGCAGTGACTAAGATGCTAAAGAGGTGAAAGGGGGATCTTTCAGATGCCCCATTGTCTGTAGCTAGTGAGCCGGCTTCAGGATCACCTATACTTGTTTTTCTAGGATACCTGAGGTTTTTATCCAGGTACAGCAAGCAGTGTTGGGTGTTGGGTGTTGGTAATTGCATGGAAAATCCATTGGTTTCCATGAGAATGTGCCCATTGTCATGTTGATTGGGCAGTGAGACTGTTTCTTGGTCAGAGTGAAGTCTCATGGAATATCCAAAAACATGACATAAATTCCTCTCAAGGGTGGCCATGGTAGCCCCAGCGTCTAATAGAGTGACATATATTTAGCTGCCCGGGAAGCAAACTATGGCCATAGTCCTTTTCCCTACACAAGGGATCCTTTAATAGTTCAGTCACTCAGTTGCTATTTTCCTGACCAGATGGCTGGGTTGTTGGCAATGGCCCATGATTTAGTGGAAATGGAGCAAAATATACTGTTAGAGGCAGCCTGCATGGCTACTATCATTGCATGTAGTTTGTCCCATTGGGCAGAATGGCCATGTTCAGTGTCAGTCAAAAGATGCCATCCCCTGGCTGGATGGTGGCCAAACCCAGTGGATCCACTGGCATGTGTTTTGTACAATCATCAGGGCCCAATGCCATACTGACATAGGCATGTCTCTGAATCTTTGACTCTATTTGGCCAAAGGAGAAGAAAATTGTCCCCTATGGGTCATTTGTTCCCTTCTAGCAAGCTTGCCATTTGTTCATGGGGCACATGGGTCCTGTGGGATCCTGGTTATGGCTGATTCTGACTGTATCATTTCCATTTAATAATTTGGATCTGATGGGCCTGTCCAGTTTTGTTGATTGTGTTTGTAGGCACCAGAGTGAGAATGGCTAGTTAAGGTAGCAGCATCCCACCTGGTGCTCTAGCTCTGAGATACTCAGTCCCTATCAGTTTCCTACAGCAAGCAAGGAGCGCCATTCAAAAGAGGCACAACTGTTGGCTGCTTCAGGAAACTTTTGTGTCCAAAATCTGATTCTGGTGCACCGAGTGAAAATTTTCTGTTGCCACAGGCTCCAGTCAGCATGCATAGAAATAGTGGACACCTGGATTTCCATGGAGCAAGCGGGCTCTAAAGCTCTTAAAGAAGTCCTTCGGCCATGCCTTGTTGAACAGATTCCAAGTCTACTGTTGCAAAGGGCCCTGTTCAAGGATGACAACTTTGTTCCATGATTTTGACTAACATGACCAAAAGAACACCCAGGTAAGATTTCTACTGTCCCCAGTACCCAAAAATACCTACTAGCTTGTAGGTCTCCTTCTTTTTAGTGGTTGCCACCAGGACCAACAGTGATTAACTATTTCTGGGATACTGCCTTGGTTTCCTTTTCAGGTGGCCTTAGCATTCATCCTTCAACAGTCCATCATTAGTCTGCCAAACTGGGTTGTTCCATTGTGACACCAGGCTTTGTGACATTTTAATTTTTTGTAGCAACTATTAAATTAACAAGGTAGTGTTCTGATCTTCATTGAATATGCAGTCCTGCTTTTGCTGAACAACGCTCTGGGACATGGGAAACTTAGGTGGCAGGCAGGAGTGGATATGCCCCACTGTCATGCCTTGAATACTTAGCTATGAGTGCGGATAGCCCCTCAGGCAGCAGTGATGTTCTGTGGCACAGCAGCAAAAAAATACCTCCATTACACTCAGCAGTGAGAACCATGGTCACCAGCACCCAACATGGCCCAAAGGGAATGATCCATATGCAGATCAGCACACAAGCAGATACTCACCATGGGGTCCTCATTTGTCCTGACACCTTCTGATGTTATCAGTTTAATTTTTTCCAAGGGGACCTGGAAATATTGTCAGGTGGATTACAGCATACAAAAATCTCAGAAAAGTCTGAATTCCTTTTTTTCACTTTTTATCTTGAGAGAAATATAGAGCCACTAGCCTCTGATGGAGACCTTGGCCCTATTCCTAACTGTGCCTTTCAGACAAAGACAGTCCAGTCTGCAATGTGGCTTAACCAAATAAACACCCCAACCAGGCAGCATAAGACTTCCCTGGCATTTTTCCATGACTCTTTTATAGAGAGTGATCCTCCTTTTCTGTGAAGGCCTTTTTTGTTCATTTTGGTTCTTTCTCAGATGCTTCAGGGACCACTGAGGTTATCTTTCTTGTTTCATCTTGGGTGACTCAGGGTTCATCTGATTACCCATGTCTGAGCTCTCTTGCCCCAGGAATGAGCAATCAAATAAGTGTCACAGATGTCTCATTCATCTTCCCTCCTCATTAAAAATCCATCTGCATGTCCAGCCCTTGCATCACCAGGCTGATGTCTCTGTCCTGGGCCAGGTACTGGGGAGTATTGTTCCTCCAACTTCACCAATAAGCCATGGTTCTCTCAAATCAAACCTTCTTAGTGTGCCAATTTTGCCAAGAAGGTTTGCTGTGCACTGGTTGCCAACTCACCCAAATCTAGTGAGACAGAACACCCATGCACAACCAGTTACATGAAGTGGATTACTACTTACAGAGTCAGCAAGAGAGAGCACAAAGCTGCCTGGGCCTGATTGACTCTAGACCTTGCATAACACAAAAGGACCACAGCTGAGGAACCCTGGAATGCAGCCCACCCTGGGTTTTATGTCTTAGAATCACATGACACACTGGGCTACAGTGTTGAAGGAATTCCTGTTTCTAGTAGGGACAGAAACAGAACCCAGGCTATTCTGGCCAATCATGCCCTATCTCAGAATGTTACAGTTCCAGAACATTCTACAGTTATTCCTGAAAACTACAATCAAGAAAAGGAAGGAGACTGGGTTAATTCGTGACTAAATGGAAACTGTTCTGCAAATACCACAGTGAAATCAAAACTCAGTATTTTTGAGACTGGGTTATTTCACTTAGTGTAATGTCCTCTAGTTCCATCCATGTTGTAGCATGTGTCAGAATTTCCCTTTTTAAAACTAAATAATATGGAATAGTATGTATATTACCACATTTGGATTACCAGTTCCCTCCTTTGTGAACATTTGAGTTGCTTCTACATTTGGCTACTGTGAATAATTTGCTTCTGAATGTGGATATACAAATATCTCCTCAATTTAATGTCTTCCATTACTTGGGTATATGTCCAAAAGTGGAATTGCTGAATTATATAGTATTTCTATTTTTAATCCTTCGAGGAATTGCCATCTTGTTTCCCACAGCAGGTGGGCCATTTACATCACCACGACAGTGTCCACAGGAGTTCCAGTTCCCTAAATTCTCACCAAGACTGGTCACCCTCTGTTGGAAAAAAACATTCTAACAGGCATCAGGTGGGTTTTGTTTTAATTTTTCTAAGGATTAATAATATTGAGCATCGTTTCCTATGCTAGTTATCTAAATATCCCCAAAGTATCTTCTTTAGGGAAATGTCTATTCATATACTTTTCTCATTTTTAATCAGTTATTTTATTTTTACTGTTGACAAGTAGAATTTATTTTTGTATAGTAGATATTATTAACCCCTTATCAGATATGATTTTCAAATATTTTCTTCTATTCCACATGTTGCATTTTCACTGTGTAGGTTTTATCTTTTGATGCCCATTTTAAATTTTTATGTAGTCCAATTTATTTTTTTTTCTACTTTTGCCTGTATTTTGGTGTTAAAGGTGTTAGTATTTAAATGTCTGTAAATATTCACTTACTACGCTGAGAATGTCACACTTCACCTTCTCTCTCTGATGGTGGAGCTAAGAGTGTTACACTCTCCCATTTTGTCCTAGGGGACAGTGAAGCTAGGTGAGAACCCAGTGGCTTTTCTGAGCTTATTTGTCTTGCGTTTTTGGTGACATGGATTATTGTTCACATCAGCTTCCTCTGGCAAGTCCACCTGGAAAGCATTATATTTAGCAAGAAAAAAGGAGGCTGTGAATGATGTCACTGTAAGCTGTTTATATTCCCTGTTGCAAATGTCAAATCCGTGAAGCATAAAGGGATTTACTAGAGGATATTAAATTCCTTAGAAATTGTTGAAAAGCCTTAAGCAACAGGCTCCAGGCAAAGCCTCTGGAACAATTCCAAGAATGGCACTGCTGGCGCAGGCTGGGGAGGAGCTCCTGCTGCCTGAGACTCCACATTCAAGCTGTCTCCTGCAGGAAAGAGAGCAGCTCTTCTCACTACTGCCCCCCGAAGGACAGCTGCTCCGCTATCAACTGCTAGAGACCTGACCCCTTTCTCTGCAGACCTGACTGTGTTGATTACATCTTCATTTCAGTCTCATGTAGATTCATCTGTTTTCATGGATTCAGGGGCTATTTCTGCCCAAGTCCACCCTGTGGCTTTCTATCATAACTACACATCTTTCTACACTTGAATTTCTAGTCATTACTAGTATCAACAGCAACATGCTAGAACCTCACATAAAGATTTCCTTTACAAAGAACATCATGCTCCCCACGTAGAATTGTGCTCCCCAAAATGTGGGGAAAGTCCAATCTGTTCAGCCCAACACCATGTAGGATAAAAGGATCTTCTCTCATGAGCCGTTAATCTGTCTACTTATTATTTAATTTGTGGGCTAAACTATAAAGATTGGTAAAAATAGCACTTTGAATTCTTTTGGCAAAAGGGTGTAAAGAAAAGATTAAATTATTTAACATGACTCATTTCGTTATTGTCACCAGCTTCTTTCATATTTATTTTATTCTCTAGTTTCTGGCAATACTTTCTCTATGGTAGAGTCTGGAAAGGCTACTCCTCATGTCCTTGGCTTCCTAAGTCCCAGATGTGGTGAAGAATGCCCATCAACTGTGCTACTACAGAGTGCTTTTGGATTGAGATGAGGGAGGAGAAATGGCTGAACTCACTCAAATGTGATCATTTTCTTGGTCTAGGTCACAGCCAGGCAACACAGTCCTCTGGGCACAATATCATCACTTGCCATGTTTCTATCAAAATGAAAGTATCTTTCTTGACTGTGGAAAACATAGGGGTGGGGGCGGGGAGGGTCAAGTAATAGCAAAAGGAGTACTTGGAGTTGCCTGAGCTGCCACTCTGGTTTCCCCAAATGTTTTCAATCCATTTCATTCATGATAATAAACACCTTTCTGCCTAACCAGTCATAATGACTTTTCTCAGATCCAACTGATTCAGTGATAAACCTATAGAGAAAAAATAAATACACTTCTCCATGTTTGAGCTGACCAGGATGCTGTCCCTGGTGTTTGCACCTCCATATCCCACTATGCGTTTCATCTTCTCTTTGCCTCACTGGTGATCCAAGTACAGGGAATGCTTCACATGACTGTGATCCCTAGAACTTCATCCTGATGACGGTTGAAATCTTCTCTGAGTTTTACCAGTGGAAATGGCAATAAATAGAAACATTCCAGAAGGTCCCCTAGGTTCCATATTTTCTGTACTTCCTCTCTAAAATATGTAAAATCAATTATGTTTGCTCTTGCTTTTATGGACTATATCTATGGCCCCAGCACACATCCTAATGTCCTGTCTTGACAATTTATCCAGTATTTTAATAAATGTAAATGGTCACATGCTTATCATATCATTTCTTCCAATTTCATGGAATAATTTCACATCAACTCTTTGGATTAAGAGCCGTCAACCAGAAAACCACAGCCCTGAATAAATAGAAATAGAGTATTTCAAGCTGTTCATTTGGCATAACAATGATGAGTCTACAGCTCATTTTCAAGATATAAATATTCTGTTTATGGGAGTGACAGCACCATTCATACAGTTACTGTTTCAGAGCCTCCACCATATCTGACAGGACAGCAATTCAATAGCAGAAGGGTTTGTGTGCCAGCTTTGCTTGACTAATAATGGGTTTTTCTCTGTCCATAGGGAAAGCACATGACAAGAGCATGAGCTACACTTCACTTCACTTTTTTTGAGGTTAATAAGTTGCTTGATCCAAAGCTATATTACAGAAGAACTTCCTGACTCTGATGAAAGCTCTTGGAAAATCCTCAAATAATATTTTATGCAGAAATATAACCAAAAAGGAAGGCAAATTCATATATAGGAAAATAACCAGTGCCCTCCTCACGTTACATGAGGTCTACTAGTATCACCCGACACCAGCTGTTAGTCTGGGCCCTGATGTGTGGCGCAATGTTAGGGGTTCAAGAGACGTTATTCTTCTTGACAAAATAGGTGTTCAGAAGAGCCAGTAGCCCTGTATGTCTCAGTTAGTTGAAACTCATATTATTGAGTCCCCACAGGGACCTCCATAACCTTGGTTCAGGAGACACCTTGGAAACCTGGGAAAGGTGATTGACTGAAGTCCATCTGTTGAATCATCCTCATTATTAAAAGCCTCCTACTCATTAACGGCATTTCGATTAATATTCACTTGGAAAGCATGTTTTTATTTTGGCTCATTTTTGAAACGTCTAGTCATAGTTCTTTCTGAATCACTTTGTCTGAAATCATCCTGTTGCATTTCTTTTAAGGGCTGATGATCTGTCAAAAGCAACAGCCAATATTATTACATTGCTGTTCTCTTTGCAATGTTATCATCAGATGTAATCCTTGCAGGTTAACCACTGTTACGAATTTTACATTTCCAGGGATTTCTTGACAATGGCACTGATGTGACGCCATCCAGCATCTATTTGTGAGAACTCTATTTGACAAATCATCACTGTGGGTGTGAACATAATGGAGACTTTCATAGGATGCTATGGTTAATATTCAACTTTAGTCAAAATTTACTCTAGTCCTACCCTTGGAGCTCTACTGGGTTCGAAAAATATTTTAGATAAGGACAATCATTTCATAGAGTTTTAAAAATAAAGGCTAAAAGAAATTTTCTGTAGCAACAGTATGAACTATATGTAGCCAGCATACCCTTTTTTAATGGAATATAACAAAAATTATTTAAATGTATTTAATTTAAATAATTGTATAAATATGCATATATAATAAATAAACGTACTTAAATATAAATACTATACATGTATATTTGTAGCCAACATTTCATCAGATAAATATAGGTAGCTTTTATGTATCTTATACACATATATGCACATTTTCCACAAATAAGGTAAATTTTAATTTTTTATTGAATACTAGTTTTAATTTTGTCATTAATTTTCTCTTAATAACTTCATAATTTAATACTAAATGTTCACATTTATACCACCAACTTAAGAAAAAATCGTGTGTGTAGGTAGAGGTGTAAATACTGTATCAGGAAGGCTTTATGCATAATGATTGGTAACTGGTTAAATACACAACTCAGTGGCTGATAACAGTAAACATTTGTTTTCGTGTTCATGGATGTTCACGTTCACAATCATCTGGCTGATCAAGAAAGGGCTCAGCTGAGTGGTTTCTCTGCAGGGCACTGAGCTCATCTTCAGCCTACAGATATGAATTGTCTGAGGACGAGGCTGAACAGCAGTGACTACACATGACACAATATTCTTATGGCAGGTCACAGGAGTGAACAACATCCCAAACCAAACTGCACAGTTGAATTTAAGTCCAATAATTTCTAACATAGCTTCACATATTTTAAATATATTCCTTTATTTCAATGAGTACAAATTTTGAAGAAAATGTTTACTCCATTTAATTGTAGAGGTGTTTGATCATTCCATGGACAAATAATTATGCTTTCAACCTTTACAATTCTGAAAAGATTTGCAAATGTAAATTTGCATTAGTAAGAAAATAAAGCTGGATGTGTTTTCAACATGTGGCTTTAAATATATATATATATTTTAATGGCCTCAGTGGGGGAAAATCATTTTAACTTATGTAAATATCCCTTTTTGCCTCTCTTGTGTCCTATAAAGTTGCCCAACAAGAGGTCCTCCCATGAGATTTGGAAATCAGAAAAGGATGACTCAATATTCTCCATTGGTACCTAAGGCAGACACAGGAACAGAGGTGAGGGCTGGAGAAACACCTAGAAGGATGCTGCAGGAAGCTGAGAACATCAACACTCCCACCCCTAAACTTCCAGACAGGACTGAGGACCACATGGTTAGATAGCCCATACTTCAAGGGCAGATGCTTTCTGTTTTCTGAGTGAGCGCCATTCAATCCTGCTTCTAATATCAACTTTCCTGACTACTATATCCTTGGCTTTGAAAGGTTGTGGTCTGAACGTTAATCATAGGCATTGGTTCATTCTTGTTATACCCAAAAGAGCCAAGAAACCCAGTGGGGAAAGGCACTCAGGGTGTAAAATATTGTTTCTAGAATGCAATTGAAATAGGCCCTGTTATCCCATGGAACTAAGGTTTATGGTTTTTTGAATAAACAGAAATTGACTCCCCCAGTCTTAAAACTCAAGATAGTTACATTTGTCTTATCTGAGTTCTTTTTTCAGTAAACCAACCATCAGGGCTCCCAGATACTATCAAGGAGCTGAAACATACATATCACTGAATCCGGACACTGAGACATCAGAACCTTCACCCATTATGATTGCATAACTGACCTCTTGCTTCCTGTTGACCAAATTATCTTCCTTACCCACCCCCCAAATTCCTGTTTTCCCACATTTCGTCCCTGTTATATAAACTCTTAATTGTAGTTGATCAGGGAGATACATTCGCAAATGGTGTCCCATCTCCACGGCTGCAGTACCTGATTAAAGCCTGTTTCTTGGCAATACTTGTTTTAGAGATTGACTTTCTGTGTGGTGAGCAGCAGGGTGTACACTGAATCCCTGGCATTTTAGTAAGAAAATTCTCTGCAACCTTCACTGCTTTGGCTTCTTGTAACCTGAATTCACATTTAACTGCAACTTCTGAGATAACTTGATATAATTCTAGGATTCACTTTGTCCACCACTGCTTCCCAGTCTGAGCTTGCCAGCTCCCAACCCTTACTAGTGCCAGTGAACTTTCTCAAAATGCAAAAGGTAATATTTTCCCTTTTTCATAAAACACTAACCTTCTCTTCGTACTTCCAATATATTGAAGACCACTGAGTTTTCCTGTGTGTCCAATTTGGCAAACATTTCTTTGCAAATAAAACATTAAATTTAGAGATTCTGCTCTACATTTTATTTAGACTTCAGTAGTTTAGACTCTAATTTTCTGTATTAAGACAATTCCTGCTTAGAATATCTATAGTGGTTTCTTCTCTGTTATTTGAATTCCAACCAAAGCCCTAAACTAGACTCCTTAGGTGTCAAGATCTCTGCCTTTATTACATCAGGAGAGGCATTGCTATGTCTGTGCAGCTGGGGCTTACAAAGCAAAAGGAATTGGGTTGCAGAGGTGATTTCAGGTCCCCCTCTACCAATACCATCAGAGTGTGGCTGCATCTGAGGAACACTCTCAGGCAATGAAGGAATCAGGAGGAGCAGCTGGGGCAGCCCAGCCTTACACATCTGCTTCCCTGGGGGTTTTTGTTCGGGTGTGTAACACTGTGGGAGGGAAACTATAATACTGTTGACAGTAATAAGTTGCAAAATCTTCAGACTGCAGGCAACTGATGGTGAGAGTGAAATCTGTCCCAGATCCACTGCCACTGAACCTTGATGGGACCCCACTTTGCAAAGTGGATGCAGCATAGATCAGGAGCTCAGGGGCTTTCCCTGGTTTTTGCTGATACCAGGCTAAATAACTGCTAATGCCCTGACTCATCCGACAACTGATGGTGACTCTGTCTCCTGTAGATGCAGAGAGTAAGGATGGAGACTGGGTCATCCAGATGACACATCTGGCACCTGAGATTGGAAACATAAAAACAAATATCCATACAATTAATCATGTAGTAAGAGAATTTCCCTGAAGGGCCAGGCTGTACTGAGCACATTGGCTGAGTAAATTCATAGTGTTCTCCTTCCTTACCTGGGAGCCAGAGCAGCAGGAGCCCCAGGAGCTGAGCGGGGACCCTCATGTCCATGCTGTGTCCTGACTGGGTCTGACTCCTGCATGAAGTGTGGCCAGCCTATTAATAAGGCTTCAGTGCAGGAGGTTGTGCTCTGGGAACATGCAAATGAGCAGGGGATGGGGCTGACTGGGCACAGCTGCAGAGCTGGCTCATCTCAGTAACTCAGCACCAGCTCAGTGTCCCCAGGTGTCCCAGGAAAGACCAGGGTAGCACAAATTTGTCTGCAGTGAATGTGTTTCTACTGGAGAGTAGTTTGTTATGAGAAACATTTTTTATGTATTTTTTTGAAAATTTGAAATATTCCTCAGGAGTCGACGGAGTAATGTATTTCATTGGTGTATGGGGATTATTTAGAATATCTTGTTTGTAGGAAATACATAGTAAAATGTTAAACAGTATGATTCTCAGGACTTCAAAAGACTCTCATATGATTCGGGTTAGGGAAGGAGGTACTTTGTCCTATACTTGCAACATTTCTGTGAGCTTTAACATTGTTCCTTTCTAAAAATATTAAAAATAAAATTTATTGACATGATGCTATACATATTTGTAAGTATTAGGTAATGGTGTTATGCCATTGTTCTTATCACTATAAGATCAAGCAATTTACTACAGATACAGAGAGATGATACCGAGTTTCCTCAATGCATGCAGCACTCACACATCCACCATTATCAAGAGCTACAGGTCTCTTTAATACCCAGAGACTAAATTCACTTCACCTTATTCTTGTTTTGGGCACCTTCATTGTCTACCTTCTTTTCTGTCATTGAGTATTACTTTCCAAAGTTCTTCTCTCTTATTGAGGGTGACCACTGCATGGAGCATGTCCCTGTCATGCACCAACAATGCCACTTTCTTCTTTTACGTTTTATCAGGGACATCATCCTGACCCAGACACCAGCCTCCCTGTTAACATCTTTAGGAAAGAGACAATCCCTTATCAAGCAATTGCCAACTTACATGGAGAAATCAGCTGGATCCATATGAACCTGGACATGGATTTGCACTCATTATGTCTCACATCTCTACTGTGCCAAAAATGTCCCAGCCTGGCTTAGTAGCAGGGGACGTGGATCCAACTACATCAGCATCAGTGGGCTGCAGCCTAGGACTCCACAAAATTTTACTGATGCCTGACTAGGGGAGACAAATCACAGTGCTGTAGCCCAAGCACAAACCTTCCTGCTGTTTTGTAAGCCACCTGAATTTTAAGGGAACTTGCTTATATTGGGAGAAAGGAAGAAAGCTCCATTTGTCCTCTAAATGTTTGCTGAAAATGAACTGACAAAAGAAAGACTAATAAGAGAAAAGGCAAGCAAAATTCACTTAAAGTGCAGTGGGATATCATAACGGTGTGATTACTCAGATAACTCAATGAGATCCAGTTTTTCATACTTCCTTTCTAGCGAAGAGGTAATTGGGAAGTGTAGGCAACCTGGAGAGAATAGATGAGGATAGAAGTGCATCCTCAAAAGAACAGGCCTGTCTGGATAAAACATCAACTTCTAATCTCTTCTATTTTTGATTCCTATTTTGTGTTAATCTTCCCTGATATAAAATTTCCCAGGAAGAATTTTCTTGACAATCAGTTTCCTTCTGGAGAAGCTGCTTTTAAGCAGATAAAGGAGTGAGATAAAGGAGTGGAGTGAGCATACCCCAACAGCTAAAACTCACAAGTTAGAGGATTTATAAGTCAGACTCTAAGTCTCAGATTTTGTACCGCTCTCTTGCTTCATAAAAATACTTTGTTATTTTTTAAATTTTACTTTAAAGAAGGACAATTTTGGAGAATATATTAATTTTTGGTGGAATGAATAATGTCCCCACCCCAAAAGATATCCAGGTCCTCGTCTCTGGAACCCAAGTTTTATAGGAGTTATTAAGAAATTATTTTAGGCAGATAGAGAGGAAAAGGCATCCTTGGTAAGATTTTGTTTCTTTTAAAGCAACTCCAGACATGTTTCTTGTCTAATAGGAAAGCTCCGGCTCTTAGAGCCAGGCTGGCAAGATTTGATATGCAAATGAAGGCCATTAGAAACTGGGTCCACCCTAACATGGCTATTCCTACCTTCTTCTTCCTTACCCCTACATGTGCCTGGCAACATGGCTGCCCCCACATATCCCCATGTGCGTAGAACATTATGATGCCCTACATGTGCATATTGAAAGGCTAGGGTGGGAGGGCCAGTTTTTGCTCAGGCTATGTGAATAACATGCCTGGTCAAACCAATCCCTTGAGCCCTTTGCAAATCAGACACCACCTCCTTCATTCTCCTCATATAAGCAGCCACTTTTCCACCACAGATGGACTTTTCTCTTTGTTGGAATCCCCTGTCCCTCTGTCTCTGTACAGGGTAGCTGTTTAGCCATTTTATTATTCCTTCCTTCTTACGTATTAAACTTTTCTCTCCTTAAAACCACTACACATCTTTCTGTGGCATTTTATCCAAAGCAGTGTGAGACAGAAAGAACCCTGCTGTTCCTCCAGTCATTGGAGCCATATCATAAGGATTCTACCTTATGATAGATAGCAAAAAATGACCTTGATAGATGTAAGTTAAGGACTTTGAGAATAAGCTT